>NC_000020.11:30811898-31001508 GCF_000001405.40 Homo sapiens
GAATTCCTGAGCATCCCGGGGATCCCAGGGCCGGTCCAGGTACAGGGAGGTGGGTTGTCTACTGCGCATGTGCGGGTTTCCAGGCAGCAGCCTGGGTTTTCTGACTAGCCCAGGCGGAGCTCTCATCCCTTTTTCCCCGCGTTCTTCAGTCGGGTTGGCGGAGACCTCAGTCCGCGAAACACTGGGCCGTGGCAGAAGCCAGGCCAGTTCTCCTTTCTGCGGCTCGACTCCTCTGCCTCTTCGCTCACCATCACTTGCCAACCCCTGTCCCATCAGCCTCCTTGCCAGCACCATGGAGGGCCTTGCAACTAAATGTAGACCTGAGACCCCGTGCAAACCGGGGTGCTGCCCATTCCAGGCAAAAGGGAAGGCAGGCAGAGATGAGGACAGGAACGGAGAGAGAGTGAGATGGAAGGATGGAGCTAGGAGAGGATGGGTGGAAGGAGGGACCCCGGAAGGGAGAGAAAGAGGAAGGGAGAAAGGGAGGAAAAACCCGGGGGAGGGAGGGAAGAACAGAGGGAAGGATGGACCGAGGGACAAAAGGAGCAAGAAACAGAGAACGGAAGGCAGAGACAAAAACGGTCTTATGCCTCCAGAGCCAACAGGACCCAGCACTCCAGGAAAATGTTGGGTTCCCATTGCGGGCTAAGTGCTGGGCCCACAGCCCCGTTGGCCGGCGGGGCGATGAGCGGCCCTCTGGATCGCCAGCCTGGGTTACTTCATCCCGGAGCAATTCAGACCAATTCCGTTTCCGAAGGAATGAGCGAATTCCCCGGAAAGCAATGAGTTGAGACTCAGGTGGTTGTCTGCTTTTCATCCACATGGTTCACAGATGACATATCCCCACGTTGAGCCCTGCAACAGAGCTCGAGGTGGATAGTCCCATCCACACAGGAGTCACACTGAGGCCAACTGAAGCGTGATTCTGGATTCCACGTTCTTTGCTCTCTGCAAAGGTGCCTGTTGCTCAAGTTTCTGCCCCCCGAAAGCATGACCATGTTGACTGTTTGTTTCCCGAGCTCTGTGGGGCCCCGGAAACTTCCAGGAATGCGTGGAAGACCAGCATCATGTCGGTGCTCTCCTTTCCAGTTTTCAAACAGGCTATATTGGAGACTCCCCACTTTGCAGGAAACAAGAATCCATCGTCAGGCCGTGATGTACGGGATGTTTCTTTTCTCTGTGGTTTCGCTCTCGTTGTCTACGTGAAAATGAACAAGATCCACACAACTGCGTGTGTGAGACTATCACGGCAACTGTGACACCCAGGCGCTGGCAATAGAGTTGGCAGCCTGATCCCGGGACAAAGGTACTGATGGACATCCAGATACTCCCCGCCACAATCACTGGCAAACCCACTCCCAAACACACAGACGCACAGGGGCGCACGCGCGGGAACACAAGCACACACACAGACACACAAAGACACAGACAACTTGAAGGAGAGCAAGGGACAGAGGGATGGAGAGATAGAAACGGAAGGAGAGAGAGAAACAGCCATCGAGAGAGAGATAGAGAGGAACTGGGGAGATTGAGAGAGAGAGAGAGAGAGAGCAAGGTGGAGAAGGAAGCAGAGAAAGGGAAAGGGTGAGGGAGCTACAGAGGGAGAGCAACAGAGCCTTGGAGAGGGAGGCTCTATCTGGTAGACAGGGTCCCCTTTGCCAGGGTAGGGTGGAGGGTGACTGGGCCGGGCTGGAACAGGGGGGCAGGGCCGCCACTGCGGGAAAATCAACGGAGCCCTGAGACGTGTTTTTACTTGGATTGGTTGGTGGCCTTGGGGGTGCGTTTCGTAGCGTCATTCTTTTTTTGGCTCCTCCCTGTCCTCTTGGTGCTGTGGGCCCTGAAAGTTGTAGAGTGCGCCCCTCACTGTGGCAGGAGCAGTGGCGCTGAGCGTGCCCACGGGCCGCGGCTTGGGTCTCTCGTTTTCCGGGTGGTATGGCCTTAGACAATGGCAGTGGCGCCTGGCTGGCCCAAGAGCCCGGTCCAGCTACGCCCGCCTGATTCCAGGCGTCACCACCAACCCGGGGCCGCGAGGCTGGGATCAGGCACCCCGGAGCCGCTTGCCCGTGGCCGGGCTGCTCTCCCCCTCTACGCCCAAGCACCACCAGTCGCCGCGCTGCGCTTTCTGCCGACCTCCCAGAGCGTCCAGCTGTCGCTGGCGGCCAGACCACGCGCGAGACCTACGCGGTGCCAGAGGCCTCCATCCCCTGCCAGGGCTCTGGACTCTCCATGCGACCACCCTCTCGCTGACACTCCAGGCCTTCCCCAGGCTCTGGAGCTCCAGAGCTTCCAACACCTGGGGCCCGCTCAGGACGGGGTGTGCTCCGAGGCGTCAGGGCCCAGGGCCCAGGGTCCTGGGGTACCCTCTGGTCCTCCGCCTTGCCGCGGAAAAATTATTTTGGATTCCTCGCCGCCCCTCCTGCAAGGCCCCCTCTTGCCCCACACACCCAGAGCCGCCAGGGCTGCCCAGGGGCTAACAGCCGGCCCAGCCCCGCGGGCCCTTTTTCTCACAACGCCCACACCATCGTCGCTTGTTCCGACGAGGACCCGCCGTGGCCAACGGGGCAGGAAGGCTCTGCTTTGCCCCGTGCTAGCACTAGAGCCCCGGCAGCCTCATCCCGGGAAAGAGGGGCTGACGGACACCCAGACACACCCCACCACTACCACGAGCAAACCCCCCCTGACACACACACGGATAGACACGGGTGCACGCGCGCGGACACACACACACCACACCCGTGCACACACACACGGACACACAAAGACACAGACACAGAGAGCTTGAAGGGAGACCACCCCTCATATTGTCTTATGCCCAATTTCTGCCTCCAAAGAAAGAAGTAAAATCTAAAAGGCAGAAATGAAATCCACAGGCAGACAGCCCTGCGCCACACCCTGGGCCTGGTAGTTAAAGATCGACCCCTGACCTACTCGATTATGTTATCTATAGATTACAGACATTATATAGAAAAGCACTGTGAAAATCCCTGTCCTGTTTTGTTCTGATCTAATTACCGGTGCATGCAGACCCCCGTCCCGTACCCTCTGCTTCCTCAATCCATCACGACCCCCTCACACGGACCCCCTTAGAGTTGTAAGCCCTTAAGAGGGACAGGAATTGCTTACTCAGAGAGCTAGGTTTTTGGAGACGTGAGTCTGCCTATGCTCCCAGCTGAATAAAGCCCTCCCTTCTACAACTCGGTGTCTGAGGGGTTTTGTCTGCAGCTCCTCCTGCTACAGAAGGAGAGCAAGGGAGAGAGGGATGGAGAAATAGAACCAGAGGGACAGAGAGACAGCGATAGAGAGAGAGACAGAGAAGGGGGAGGCGAGACAGAGGGGGGAAGAGAGAGCCCCACAGTAGAGAGCGAAGTGGAGGTGGAAGTAGAGAAAGGGAGAGGGTGAGGGAGTTGTAGAGCGACAGCGACAGAGCCTTGGAGAGGGAGGCTCTGCTCAGGTAGACAGGGCACCTTTCAGCAGGCCGGGGTGGGGTGGAGGGTGCTTGGGCCGGGCTAGAACAGGGGGTCAGGGCCCCCCACCCAGGAAAACCAACGGAGCCCTGAGACGTGTGTGTTTTTTTTTCTTGAATTGGTTGGTTGCTTTGGGGGTGCGTTTCATAAGGTCCTTCCTTTGTTTGCTTCCTTCTGTCTCCTTGGTGCGGTGGGCCCTGACATTTGTAGAGTGTGCTCGTTTGTCTGGCGGGAGCCTTGGCGCCGAGAGTGTCCATGGGGCGAGGCCTAGGTCTCTCTCCTGTCCTCAGGACTGGAGTTCACACGAAGTCTGTGGCATTGGGAAAGCGGGTGCACAGGGACGGATTTCCTCGTGGCTGGCGAAGACAATGTCCTTCCCCTGGGGAAAGCAGCCCACGGGTTCTGGAGTGGAGGTCTTCGCTGGGGTCTGTGGGACCCGCTGTCCCTGCCCGTCCCTTCCCCCGGCTTGGACGGTTGCCGCGTCACTGGAAGAATGAATAGAATTGCCTGGGAGTCCGGGAAGCGTGAAGACACCCGGGACCTCAGGGAACCCGCGCCTTCGCCCTCGGGGTCGGTCCAGTCCCGCCAGGGTTGGAGCCAGGCTCCTGGTGGGGCTGCTGCGAGTGGGAAAAGGTGGGATGCTGCTGCCTGTCGGTGCTGCAGCAGCGGATCTTCAGGACGAGGTCCTGGGCTTCGGCTGGGGCGCGGGGGTGGTCAAGGGGGAGCAGAGGCGGGGGGCAGTTGGGAAGCACGGAGACAAAAGGGGGAAAGAGGGAGGGAGCAGGAAGCCAAAAGCCTACGGTACCCGTTATTACCAGGCGGAATCCCATCCGGGTACTAACCAGGCCCGACCCTGCTTAGCTTCAACAGATCAGAGGCGAGAGGGCCCGTTCAGGGTGGTGTGGCCTAGACGCCAGCAGCGGCGCCTGGCTGCCCCAAGAGCCGGGCCCAGCCACGCCCGCACGACTCCAGGCGTCACCGCCACCCCGGGGCCGCGGGTCTCGGATCCGGGACCCCCAGAGACGCTCGCCCGTGCCTCCGGGCAGCTGTCTCCCTCTACACCCGAGCACCGCCGGCCTCCCAGAGAGTCCCGCCGTCACCGGCGGTCAGGCCTGGCGCAGGACCAATGTGGCGCCGCCCTGCTGTTGCTGGTGGGCGCCGGAGGCCTCAGTCCCCTGCCTAAGCTTCCGGCTCTCAGGGCGGCCTCCCTTCCGCCCACGCTCCAGTCCTTCCGCGAGCTCCCGAGCTCTGGAGCTTCCACCACATCTGCCGGCTCAGGACGGGTCGTGCTCATCCCTTAACTTTTTAACTTTTTGTTGTTTCTATTTATATTTTATTGTGCTATGTCTTGAAATGTTGTCGTAGTTATTACTTTTGATTGGATATTATTTAGTATTCCTACCTTGAATAAGAGTAGTTTACACACCACCCATCTATAGTGTTATAATATTCTGTTTTGTTTTGTATCCTATTAGCAGTGAGGATTTTTTTTTTACTTTTAGGTGATCATTTATTGCTCGTTAATGTCCTTTTCTTCCTGATTGAAGTACTCCCTTTAGCATTCCTTTAGGACAGGTATGGTATTCATAAAATACTTCAGCTTTTGTTTGTCTGAAAAAGTCAGTATTCTTTTTATTTGAAGAAAATTTTCACTGTATATTCTATTCTAAGGTAAAAGTTTTTTTCCTTTAGTACTTTAAATATTTATTGCTTCTCTTTCCTGGCTAGTAGAGTTTCCACTGTAAAGTCTGCTGCCAGACATGTTGGAGCTCCCCAGTATGTTATTTGTTTCTTTTCTCTTTCTTCCTTTAGAACTTGTCTTTATCTTTGACTTTTGGAAGATCTATTGAATGCTTTGAAGTAGTCTTTTTTGGGTTAAATCTGCTTAATGTTCTATAACATTTTTGTAGTTGGATATGGATATCTTTCTCTAGGTTTGGAAAGTTCTCTGTTATTATCCCTTTGAATAAATTTTTCTACCCCTGCCCCTTTCTCTACATCTTCTTTAAAACCAATAACTCTTAGATCTGTCTTTCTGAGGCTATTTTCTAGATCCTCCCCTGCCTCTTTCTCTACATCTTCTTTAAAACAAATAATTCTTAGATCTGTCTTTGTGAGGCTATTTTCTAGATCCTGTCGGCATGATTGGTTGTTTTTATTCTTTTTCTTTTGTCTCTTATATGTATTTTCAAAGAGCCTGTCTTCAAGCTCACTATTTCTTCGCTTGATCCATTCTGCTATTACATGGCTCTAATGCATTCTTCAGCATGCCAATTGCATTTTTCAGCTCAGAATTTCTGCTTAATTTGCTGTAACTATTCCAATCTCTTTGTTGAGTTTAGCTGATAAAATTTGGAATTTCTTTACTTTGTTATCTTAAATTTGTTTCAGTTTTTTTTTTTTAAATACAGCTCTTTTGAATTCTCCATCTGAAACATCACATATCTCTTTTTCTCCAGGATTTGTCCCCAGTGCCTTATTTAGTTCACTTGGTGAATTCATGTTTTCCTGGATGGTGTTGATGCTAGTAGATGTTCTTCAGGGTCTGGACATTAAAATCTTGGGCATGCAGCACTATATGAGAGGTTTAAAAAATAAAATTTAAAGAGAGAAAAGGTTAGTATTTATTGTAGTCTTCACTGTCTGGGCTTATTTGTAGCTGTCTTTCTTGGGAAGGCTTTTCACATATTTGAAAAGAGTTGGGTGTTGTGGTCTAAGACATATCTGCTTTACGGGGGACCTTATACCCAATAATGCTGTAATTCTTCCAGACTCAGAGAAGTACCACCTTGACAGCCTTCAACAAAATCCAGGAGAATTTTCTGGTTTACTAGCCAGAGACTCTTTTTCCCTACCCTTATTTTCTCTCAAAGATACAGAGTCTTTCTCTCTGTTCTAAGCCACCTAAAGCTGGGAGAAGAAAGACACAAGCACCCCTGGCTACCACCACTATGACTGTCCTGGATCAGACCTGAAGCTAGCACAGCACGGGTCTTGCTCAAGTCCTGCTGCATGCACTTTCTGACGACTGCCTATGTACACTCAAGGCCTTTGGTCTCTACAATTAGCAGGTGGCAAAGCCAGACAGGCCTGTGTTCTTTCCTTTAGGGCAGTGAGATCCCTCAGTCCCTGGCTGGGTCCAGAAGTGCCATTCAGAAGTCAGGGCTTTGGCCACTTTTTAATAGGGTTTTTTTTGTTTTTCTCTTGTAAATTTAAGTTCCTTATATTGAATATTAGATCTTTGTCAGATACATAGTTTGTAAATATTTTTTCCTCATTCTATAGGTTGTTTGTTCACTCTATTGATAATTTCTTTTGCTGAGCAGAAGCTTTTAAGTTTAATTAGATCCCACTTGTCAATAGTTTTATTTGTTGTTTTTGGTGTCTTTATCATGAAATCTTTGCCCCTTTCTATGTCCAGGATGGTATTGTCTAGGTTGTCTTCCAGGGCTTTTATAGTTTTGGGTTTTCAATTTAAGTATTTAATCCATCTTGAGTTGATTTTTGTGTATGGTATAAGGAAGAAGTCCACCTTCAATCTTCTGCATATGGCTAGCCAGTTATCCCAGCACCATTTATTGAATAGGGAATCTTTTCCCCATTGCTTGTTTTTGCCAGCTTTGTCAAAGATTAGATAGTTGTAGGTATGTGGTCTTACTTCTAACCTCTCTATTCTGTTCCACTGGTGTATGTGTCTGTTTTTGTACTAGTACCATGCTGTTTTGGTTATTATAGTGCTGTAGTATAGTTTGAAGTCGGGTAATGTGATGCCTCAAGCTTTGTTCTTTTTGCTTAGGATTGCCTTGGCTACTTAGGTTCTTACTTGGTTCTATATGAATTTTTAAATAGCTTTTTTCTACTTCTGTGAAGCATGTCACTGGTAGTTTAATAGGAATAGCTTTGGACAGTACAACCTTTTAAATGATATTAATTCTTTCTCTCCATTAACATGGAATGATTTTTCATTTATTTGTGTCTTCTCTGACTTCTTTGAGCAGTGTTTTGTAATTTTCATTGTAGAGATTTTTCACCTCTCTGGTTAGCTGTATTCATATGTACTTTATTCTTTTTGTGGAAATTGTGAATAAAATTGCCTCTCTGATTTGGCTCTTAGTTTGGCTCTTCTTGGTGAATAGGAATGCTAGCAAATTTTGTACATTGATTTTGTGTCCTGAAACTTTGTGGAAGTTGTTTATCAGTTAAGGAGTTTTGGGTCACAACTATAGGGTTTAGATAGAGAATTATGTTGTCTGCAAACAGAGGTAGTTGGACTTCTCTTTCTATTTAAATACGCTTTATTTCTTTCTCTTGTCTGTTTGCTCCAGAAAAGACATCTAAAATTATGTTGAATAGGAGTGGTGAGAGAGGGCATCCTTGTCTTGTGTGGGTTTCAAGGAGGATGCTTCCAGATTTTGCCCATTTAGTATAATGTTGGCTGTGAGTTTGTCATAGGTGGCCTTTATTATTTTGAGGTATGTTCCTTTGATACCTCATTTAATTGAGAATTTTTAACATGAAGCTTTGTTGAATTTTACTGAAAGCCTTTTCTGCATCTGTTGAGACAATCACGTGGTTCTTATCTTTAGTTTTATTTATGTTATGAATCACATTTTATTGATTTGCCCATGATGGACCAACCTTCCATTCCAGGGAAGAAGCTTACTTCACTATGGTGAATTAACCTTTTGATGTGTTGCTAGATTCAGTTTGCAAGTATTTTGTTGTGGATTATTGAATGGATGTTCATCAAGGATACTGGCCTTAAGTTTTCTTTTTTTGTTGTGTCACTGCCAGGCTTTGGTATCAGGATGTTTCTGGCCTCGTAGGACAAGTTGGGGAAGAGTCCCTCCTCCTCTATTTCTTGAAATAGTTTCAGTAGGACTGGTACTGGCTCTTCTTTGTACATGTGTTAAAATTTGTTAATCTATCAGGTCCTGGGCTTTTTTGGGGAGTGGATAGGCTATTTGTTAAGGATTCAATTTTGGGAGCTCATAATTGGTCTGCTCAGAGACTGAATTTCTTCCTGGTTCAGTCTTGAGAGAGTATATGTGTCCAGGAATTTATTAATCTCTTCTAGGGTTTCTAGTTTGTGTGTGTAGAGGTGCTCATAGTAGTTGCTGGTTGTTATTTTTATTTCTCTGGGGTCAGTGGTAACATTCCCTTCATCACTTCTAATTTTGTTTATTTGAATCTTCTCTCTTTTCTTCTTTATTAGTCTATCTAGTGCCCTATCTTATTAATTTTTTCAAAAAACCTTGATTAAGTGATCTTTTGAACTTTTCATGTCTCAATTTCTTTCTATTCAGCTCTGATTTTAGTTATTTCTTGACGTCTATAAGCTTTGTAGTTGAGTTCTTCTTGCTTCTTTAATTCTTTCAGTTGTGATATTAGGTTGTTAATTTGAGATATTTCTAATTTTTCGATATGGGCGTTACTTCTTATGCCCTACTCTAACTTTTGTCCTTCTAGAAAACTCAGAACTATGCTTTCTAAACCAATTCAAACTTTCTCAGTGAATCAACCTGGTCTCCCTGAGGCAAAGTTCACAATTTTCCATTACACATGGTTCTCTTTCTCTGTAAGAATATCTAGTGCAACAATGCAAGTGTTTCTTTCCCTCCTGGTAATGCGGGAAACACCTTTTGGCTGAGACCGAGACTTAAAACCTTGTTCTTCCAACACTAATGAAGATCTATTTAGAAAGCCTCCATTTTTACAGAAAAGATATATAAACACCAATGAAAATAAATATGAAATTATATGACATGTAATTATATTGTGGAACGACTGAATAAATAAGTGAACTAAGCTCTAAGAAAAAAGATGATGATATAAAATTATATAGAAGTAAAAACCTTGGCTGGTATAGCATAATTAATGTATCAGTAAAGCATGTACACTGTAGAAGGGTCAGGAAGACAGCACACAGAGTGAGACCGGACCAAAAGCTTTAACGGAAGTTCTATACCCTTAAACAAGATTAAAGTGGACTCAGGAAAACATGGGCCACATGAGGGGAAGGACACATGTTCCAGACAGGCCAAAGCTCAGAGGATCTCTACCTTCTCCAGGAGGAAAGGGGAGGCAAAGCAGCAGGCAGAAGACATCACGGCCAGGTCAGCACAGGGCACTCAGGCCAAGCCAGGTGGGCTCCATCCTACAGTTAGTGAGGAGCCACTGCCGGGTGGGCTTTATTCATTAGTTTGTTTTGTTTCCTTTAGTAACGAAGGCACATGATCAAAGTTGACCTTTGTAAGTGCTGCAGCTGAACAAAAAGATAGATATAACCAGTATTTTAAAAATTATGTTGTATAAAGCACTACCCTCAGTGAGATATTAGTAGAACACACATGCACACACACGCACACACACTCACACTGAGCCCAGATTATTCTGGCAAATGCTGGGTTAAGCAAATTGAAAGAAACATCTTTTGTGCTGGACTTCTCAGAACCTGGAATGTGGCTATATGACTCATAAAACAGCAAGGTTAAGACAGAGCATGTCATTTTTTCCCAGAAATGTTGAAACACTTTCCTTCCCTTGGCTTCAGTGTCACCTTCTTTCTCCTGGTTCTCCTTCAATCTCTTTGGCTGCTCCTTCTTGATTTCCTTTTTGACAATCTGCTGCTGCTCAGCCATTCTCTTTTCTTTCACCATGGATTTCTCAAGTGTGTTTCTATTCCTGCAGATTAAACTTCCCTTGTTTTTCCTGACAACTCTCCTTGTCTGACCCTCCCTGGTTCTAAGGCAGGTGTTCCATCTGTGTGGGCTTTTGGCATCCTGGGATGCTCCCAGCATGTTCCCTGCCACACTTCATCAGGTTTTCTCCGTAGACTCTGCGAGGGCAGCAACCTTGTCTCCACTGTTCCTTCAATGCTCAGCACATAACACGGAAACTGACTCCATAACATTTAGTTGGCCAACTGAGACTAAATGTATGTTCCTCTAGGTCTTAAAAAGTTACAGAAACATAGCACAATAGACAAAAAAAATTCTCTTTAGTCAGGAGTTCTCTATATATGTACAACAGTTTGAAGTCATTATTAAAGCAAAGTGAAAGAGAAACTGTCACAAAATTCCCTAAGATAAATTATTTTGCTTTAATCTTCAATTCATTATGTGAGATAATCAAGACCATGTGTTATTGTACATATTTCTAGCTTACAACACAATGACCTGATTTTTATTGTTTGAAATAACAGCAATATAAATCAGTTAATTAAAAATTGCATAAATAATCCTTTCAAATAAAATTCTGCCTAAATTTTCCATTACTCATATGTTCAAATGATAATGAGCTCATAGGCTTTTCCAATACCTCAGTCAAAACATTCTACTGATTCCAGCTGTGGGAATACTACCTGAAAGTTATTTTACAGATGGGGAAAATGTACTTACGTGACGTTGGCCTTTGCACTACTGTGCCCTTTTGGGTCAGGAAAAAGCTGTTCCCTTAAAGTCCTAAAATCTCTTCTGTCAGGTCTGAAGGGTGGGTGGGAAACACAGTTTTATGAATTTTAGCCACAGATGTTTTATTCCTTGCTTAAAGCAGTGACTAGATAAAGGCCACTAGAAGAGCCTCCTATGTTACTTTAGAAGTGTGTGCCTGAGAACGTCTTCCTGAAACACTCCCTTGTCTCTGCCCAAAATCACCTTAGGTAGGAAAATCAAAACTCAGCAGGCTGAGGAGATCGAAGGGGATCACTGAGCTCTGAGTCTTATGAGAGAAGAGAGAGGGGTCTAAGACTTTTTGTGTATAAATTTAAGGGTTCCAAGTGCAATTTTGCTGTAAGCATGGATGGCATAGTGGTGAAGTCAGGGCTTTTAGGTATCCATCACCAGAATAACGCACATTGTACCCATTAAGTAATTTCTCACTGTTCACCCCTTCCATCCCCTCACGCTGCTGAGTCTGCCTTATCATTACACTCTCTACGTCAATATCTACACATCTTTTAGCACCCGCTTATGAGTGATAAAATACGATGTTTACTCTGTGTCTGGCTTGCTTCACTTACAACAATGGCCTCCAGTTCCATCCATGTGTTTGCAAAAGTTATGATTCTATTGTTTTTTTTGCCTGAATAGTATTTCATTGCGTATATTTTCTACATTTTCTTTCTCCAGTCATTTGTTGATGGACATTAGGTTGATTTTATATCTGTGTTACTGTGAATAGTGTTGCAACAAATACACAAGTACAGTTATCTTTCTGATACATTGATTTCTTTTCCTTTGCATAAATACTCAGTGGTGGGATTGCTGAATCAGACAGAGCCAATAGATGATCAGTAATGGTGGCCAATCATCAGCTAGAAACAAAGTACTTAGCAGAGCTTGAAAACACCAAAACTCTGAGACCACTGACCTTCCAAAACTTCAACAGTTCAACAGCCCTGAGTGAAAAGTCCAAACACATTTATCTACCATTCGAAGACGCTTTATTGTCTGTCCTCTGTGCATCTCAGTAGTCTCTTTTTACCACACTGTCTATATACTGCATAAGCCATTTATATGAAACTATCTGACACTCCAAGGCATCTTATACTATATAGTCAACCATGTATCCCTAGTACCTAGCACGGTCCTGGCATATAGTTTGCTACTAAACTCTTGCAGAATGAAGGAATTATCTTGTATCCAGGTTCCAAGTTTTAAGGTGATTCTTCACTAAAAAAATGTATTACAGTTCACAAATAATCTACTTCCCTTTTTACAAATGGGATCGATTTTAATCTTATCCCCTAATAACATTACTTTCATTTACTCCGATCTAAATATACTGTCCTAAGAGAGCAATTAGAAAGAGAGTTGAAGCTGGAGTTTGAAGAATTGTACATGGTCCTGTGATCCCCTACCTTGTTTTAACCTGAGTGACTCTCTCCTAGCAGAGAGAGAGCCGGAGAGACTCCATTTTAGCTTCTTCAAGTGCAGCCCCCATTACCTCCCTCCCTTAAGGGCATAACTAGTGTAAACTGACTCAAAGCACGTCCAGGAATGCACTTACTGATAAGATATTGAGGCAAGCTGCACCAGCAGCTCCTGGGGACGCGCTCGGTGAATGTCAGGCAAAACCCCTGCATTTTTCTTTTTGTGATAGTTTAAGCCCCTGCACCTGGAACTGTTTATTTGTTTTGTAACTGCTTTTGTAACCAATTAATTTTTTAACTATTTGCCAGCTCTGCTTCTGTAAAAATTGTTTCAGTTAAACTTTCCCCTCCCCTATTTAGACCACAGAATAAAAACAAAACCAGCCCCTTCCTCAGGGCCAAGAGAATTTTGAGCGTTAGCTGCCCTCGGTCGCCAGCTAATAAAAGACTCCTTAATTTGTCTCAAAGTGTGGCGTTCCTCTATAACTCGCTTGGTTACAACAGTCCAGACTGTGGCCTGAGGTGCATCGCCCACCTGAGCTTCATCTGTTAGGTATGTCAGGGAAGATAAGCAGGGTGAGAGTGGCCTCATCGGAGGACCCCAGATCTCTGGCTTCCCCATTTGGCAAGTGCACATCTGTGAACAAAGACTTCAGAGCCAGATGACAAGAACGGCCCAAGCAGTCCACTAGGGAAACCTGGGCCCAGTGTACATCAATGCAGAGCATCAAGCATGGCGTAACAGTTGCACAGTTGCCTATTCCTGTTCAGAGATGACTGCATCTCACACACTGTAAAATGAGGAAATGCAGAGAAGCAGATGTAACTGAAGAAGACAGCAGGAGCAACAAGGAGGGACAACCACGACCTAGGAAGGCACTATGCCAGAGACGCCTGGACCCCACGCTAGGCTTAGTGCCCTTTATACTCTTGGGACGCAGCGCTTTCCCTCTCCATCACAATGCATACTTGACATTATTTGTTGTTTAAAATATTGTCCTTAGATTTCACCTTTCCTAGGAGACACAGGCAGACCCTGTGACACTACAGCTTCTGGCACACAGCAGGTGCATCACAAACATCTGCTGAGTTCACACACTCTTGCCTTCTCAAACCTTCTTGTCAAGTCTTCAGTGAAAAGGAATTGCTGATTGAGCAAGAATTAAACTTCTAGAGACTCCGGGACCCACTGAAGTTTGAGACAAGGTGAGATTTGTTTACTGCCATATTCCTAGCTCATAGCATACTGTAGTCACTTAAAAAATGTTTGTTGAATCAGTGAGTGAATTGATTCATACGTCATACTTAGCTATATATTTTCTGAGAAAAATTGATAAATTTAATAGTTTAATTCTAGTATAATTTTACTTTACTTACTCAACGAACCTGACAATTCAACTCGGTGCCAAGCACCCTGCTGCTGAAGAAAAAGAGGTATAAGATACGACTTCTGTCTACAAGAAAGCCACAGTCTAAAAAGTAGAAACATATGAATAAATTATAACAATAAATAGGCTAAATTCAAAATCAGAGGGGTTTGTTTCTATTTTAATCAGCTCTAGTCAGGAAGTGTTAGAAAGTTCTAAACAGGAAATGTTCCAACACACCATCCAAGCATGAAGCAGGAGACACCCATAATTGAGTTTGCTGCCGCCAACCCCAACAGCAAGAATTCCAGTCCCGCTGCTGCAAAGTAAGTGTCACTCTGATTTTATTACTGCTGTGTAACCCAGTTTCAGACTCTCTGGTTCTCTCTTAATATTCTAAAAAACTGTTAAAGAGAAAATAATATTATGGTGATGAGCCCATCCACTGCAGCCATCTCAACATCATACCAATTATAAGCCCTATCATTTAAATAGAAAACTGTTAGTTTAACTTATTTATCCAAATATCAGTATTAGATAAACATGTTTGTCATCAGACTTTGGATTTGTGGGTTAAATAGCATATAAATATGATTAGAGCCTTAAAGTTTACACTTCTCTGGTTTGCTCAAATTTTTTTCAAAATAGCGTATGCCTTTCTAAAAAATTGTTAGTATATTTTTTAAAATGAACATTAATATATATATTTTCCAAAAACAAAATGCAGCTCCCATTGGTAAATGATGATGTTGAGATACAACAGACAACTTATCTTGGAAACCATTTAATCAGTGCTCACTTTTGCACTCTTTCCAGAAATGTCAATGGCTTTAAAATGTAGAAGTATATTATACAACTAAACTTACACTTATTCAGTATTGTGCAATATTTAGTACTTGTTCTAGCTATCTCTTGCTGAATAGTAAGCCATTCCAAAACTTAAGGAATTATTTATTGTTTAATATTGTTTATTGTTATTATTTGTTCAGTGATTTTAAATAATGTTATTTCTCATGGTTTTGTGGGTTGATGGGCACTACAAAAGTTCTCTTTTGGAGTCTTTCTTGCAGTTGCTGTTGGTTGGCTGCTGCTGAACTCACCTGAAGGCTCCACTAGACTAAAGAGCCTAGACGGGTCACTCATATGGCTGGCAGTGCATATTGGCTGCTGAGTGTGATGCCTATCTGACCTCTCCATGCTATCTGGAGTGCTCACAACTTGGTAGTTGGTCCCAAGACACACAGGCAAATACTACAAAGCTTCTTAAGACCTAGCCTTGGAGGTCCTAGAATACAACTTCTGCTCCATCCTATTGGTAAAGCAAGTCATTGTGACCAGCACAGATTCAAGAAATTGGAGATTCGACTCCAGCTGTCAATGTAAAGAGCAGCATGTGCATGCAGGGAGGAAAGAAATTGAGGGCATCATCTTGAAAACTATCATATCACATTATTATTCCAACTAATGAACATTATGTTTTAGATGGGTAGTACTAGCTACTCATCTCTCCCCCAGAAACCCAAGCTAAGCATGGAAATATTGAAGAGAATGTCAGCACCATTAAAAAAACTCTAGAAAAATCACATGTGATGACTGAGGTTAATTCAGTCTGTCAATTACATCAATATAATTCCCTTCCTGTAACCCTAAATAAGGTGAAGCAGAATTGAATTCTACAAAAGCTTTTCATCTGTTTTCCTATAGAATAATTAACAAACCTAATAAATGTATAAATAGTATGAAGTCCAATTTATTTTAGACTTTTACCTTTTAATTTCAAAGCTTAAAGAAATCCAGAGAACTAATCATCATAGTCCGTAATGCCTGGACCAGAAGTCCTTGTTCTAAGAGTATCTTGTGGCATGCTAAAAATGTATTACTAACTAGGAAATTTAAAACTTTTTTGTTAGTGATTTTAAGAGAGCTGACTAGCTCATCACCACAATTCACACAGATTAAGAATGGAGATTACTCTGCTGAGTGGATTCACAGTGATCAGAAAAAAAAATCGCAAAAGAGGGAAGGAGATAGAGAAGGGGAAACATACTGTCAATCCCTACAATTAAAGTGATTTTTTGAATGGTTTGATTTTGTATTTGCAAAGGAAAGGCAGCTTATTGTGATGGAATAAGAATCCCACTTCTGTATATATATATACATATATATATATATATATATATATATATACACATATATATATATATAAAATATATATATATTTTGAGACGGAGTCTCGCTCTGTCGCGCAGGCTGGAGTGCAGTGGTGCGATCTTGGCTCACTGCAAGCTCTGCCTCCTGGGTTCACGCCATTCTCCTGCCTCAGCCTCCCGAGTAGCTGGGACTACAGGCACCCGCCATCACGCCCGGCTAATTTTTTGTATTTTTTGTAGAGACAGGGTTTCACCGTGTTAGCCAGGATGGTCTCGATCTCCTGACCTTGTGATCCTCCCACCCCAGCCTCCCAAAGTGCTGGGATTACAGGCGTGAGCCGCTGTGCCCGGCTTGTCTTCTTTTGAGAAGTGTCTGCTTATGTCCCTTGTCAATGTTTTAATGGGGTTGTTTTCTTAATGTTCAACATCACTAATCATCAGAGAAATGCAAATCAATGTGAGATACCATCTCATATTAGTCAGAATGGCTACTATTAAAAAGTAAAAAAAAAATAACAAATTCTGGTTAGACTTCAGAGAAAATGAAATGCTTATACACTGTTGGTGAGAATGTAAATAGTTCAGCCACTGTGAAAAGCAGTTTGGAGATTTTTCAAAGAATTTAAAACAGATGTACTATTCAACCAGCAATTCCATTGCTGAGTATATATCCAAAAGAAAATTAAAAATTCTACAAAAAGAAACCCCACATGCACTTGTATATGCGTCATATTGCTATTCACAATAGGGAAGGCATGGAATTAACTTATGTGTGAACCAATAAATTGGATAGAAATATGTGCCACATATACACCATAAAATACTACGCACACATTAAAAAGAATACAATCATGTCCTGTGCAGCAACATGCATACGTCTGGAGGCCATTATCCTAGGGAAATTAATACAGGAACAGAAAACCAAATACCACATGTTCTTGCCTATAAGAAGGATCTAAACATGGGGTACTCATGAATATAAAGATGACAGCAATAGACACTGAGAACTACTAGATGAAGGAGGGAAGGAGGAGGGCAGGGGGTGATAAACTATGAGTGCTATGCTTACTGCCTAGGTGATGGGATCTATTATATCCCACATTGTTCAGCATCACACAATATATCCATGTAATAAACCTGCAAATATACTCCCTGAATCTAAAAATAATTAAGGCAGAGACAGAATAAGAGGGCAGAATAGAAGCCTACATTCTCATCCACCACACAAAAACACCAAATTTTCACAACTCACTACATTCAAGAAGCACTGTCAAAGGGACCAAAAATTGGGTGAGTAATCACAGTACCTGGTATTAACTTCATATCACTGAAACAGACATTGAAGAAGACAAACAAATAAAAGATTGTCTAGAGGCACGGATGCCACCTCTTTTTCAACCACCAGTAGTGGCTACATCGTGCAGAGATAGTATGTTTGGGAGAGGGAGAGCAGAGTTTGTGAGGCTTTGCAATAAACTCAGTACTGCCCTGTCACAGTGAAAAGCAGAACCAGACTGTACTCAGCTGACATCTGCCAATGGGGGGAACACTTGTATTGGCCTTAGAAAGAGGAAAACCTCCCATCTTAGTGTTGGGAGCTTGAGTTTTCACAAGTCTTGCCGTCATGAGTTGACATGCTATTGGACTCTAAAAGAACTTAAGGGCAGTCTGGGCCACAAGGACTTCAATTATTAGGCAATTCATATTCTGAGCTGGACTCAGAGACAGTGGAATGTGGAGGGTGGGGAGAATGGGGTCTACTGAGACAGCAGCCAGAAAAGCTAAGGGAGTGCTCACAATACCACTCCCCCACTCCCACCTAGCAGCAGCCACAAAACACAGAAAAACCTGTGAATTTGGGAGAGGGAGAGCACAGTGACTGGAGGACTTTTCATTAAACTCAGTGCTGCCATGTCAGTAAAGACCTGGCAGAATTCATCACCTGCTGACTAAAGAACCCCTGTACCCAGAATAAAAAACAGTGACAACCAGGTAATACAACATGGGCATTGGACTCTGAGAAGCGCTAACTTCAGGTGTGACCCAGTACATTTCTAGCTGTGGTAGCTATGGTGAAAGATTTCTGTTTCAGAAAAGCAGGGGGGAAAGTAAAGGATCCACTGCATTGCACCTGATATGCCAGCTCAACCACAGTGGGGTAGAGCACCAAGTGGATTCTTAGAGTCCCTAAGTCCAGGCCTAGAGTCTTCTTGGTCAGCATTTCTGCACTTGCCCTGGGCCAAAGGTCGAGTCCCAGGCATTGCAGAATTTATCACAAGCTAATTAAAGAGTCCTTGGGCTTTAAGTGAGAAAGTGATGATGATTTGGTGGAAACCCCCCATGGGCCAGTAGTGTTGGCAGTCATAGAAGAGGCTCTTCTGCCTGCAGACAGGGGAAGGAAGAGTAGAAAATACTTTGTCTTATTCCCTAAGTGCCAGGTTAGCTACAATAAAATAGAAGAGCAGGTAAATTTTGAAGATCCTATGCTTTAATCTCTGGCTCCCAGGTAACATCTGTGGACCCACTCATGGCTAGGGGAACTTGCCACCCTATAGGCAGAGACACAAACCTGGCTGTCTTTGCCACCTATTAATCACAGAGTCCTAGGGCTTTGAATAAACTTATATGGTAGCCAAGTAGTGCTTGCAGTGGGCCTTGAGTGAGACCAAGTTCTGTGCCTACTTCAGGTGTGAACCAGCACAGTCTCAGTGGTGGTGGCCACAGGAGTGCTTATGTTACCCCAACCCCAGCTTCACATGTCTCAGCACACAAAGAGTGACTGCTGATTTGAGAGAAAGTAAGGTAAGAGAACAAGAGTCTCTACTTGATAAATCAACAGAATTTTTCTTGATGTTAATCCAAGGCCACCAAGGCAGTACCTCTATGTGTTTGCATAAACAACTTTGCTATTGGGTCTGGGGCCCAAGTTTCTTTGAATACCTGGAAAGTGTTCCCAAAGATAATGGGCACTAACAAGCCCAGACTGTGAAGACTTCAATAAAGACTGAACTCTTCAATGCCCAGATACAGATGAACATCTACAAGTATCAAGGCCATCCAGGAAAACATTACCTCACCAAACAAGCTAAATAAAGCACCAGGGACAAATCCCGGAAAAACAGAGATGTGTGACCTTTCATACAGGAAATCCAAAATAGCTGGTTGAGGTAATTCAGAGAAATGTACAATGTAAGACAGAGAAGGAATTCAAAATTCTATCAGATAAATTTAACAATGAGATTGAAATAAAAAGAATAAAGCAGAAATTATGAAGTTAAAATGCCATTGTCATACTGAAGAATGGATCAGAATTACTTAAAAGAATTGACCAAGGAGAAGATAGATTTAGTGAACTTGAAGTCAGACTATTTAAAAATACAAAGTCAGATGAGATAAAAAAGAATACAAAATAAAGCATGCCTATAGAATTTAAAAAATAGCCTCAAAATAGCAAATCTAAGAGTTATTGGTCTTAAAGAGGAGGTTGAAAAAGAGATGAGTTGAACATTTATTTAAATAAATAATATTAAATAATATTAAACAATTCCTCAACATTTGATATCAACATTCGAGTAACAGAAAGTTACAGAACATAAAGCAGATTTAACCCAAAGAAGACCACCTCAAGGCACTTAACTGAACTCCCAAAAGTTAAGGATAAAGAAATGATTCTAAAAGCATCGAGAGAAGAGAAACAGATAACTTTCAGTGGAACTCCAATACATCTGACAGCAGACTTTTCAGGGGAAAATTGACAGGCTGGGAGACTGGCATGACATATTTAAAAAGCTGAAGGAAAAAAAGACTTTTACTTTAGAATAATGTATCTGGCAAAAACGTCCTTTAAACTTGATGGAAAAATAAGAACTTTTTCCGACAAACAAAAACTGAGGGATTTCATTAACACCAGACCTGTCCTACAAGAAATGCTACAGGGATAACCTAACCTAAAAGAAGAAAAGTAAGTGAGCAATAAGAAATCATCTGACGGTACAGAACTCACTAGCAATAGCACATGGAAAAACACTGACTATTATAATATGGTAATTATGGGGTGCAAAAATCTCAAATAGAAAGAGTAAACATATGAACTTTAAAGTAGTTTTTTCCAATTCTGTGAAGAAAGACATTGGTAGCTTGATGGGGATGGCATTGAATCTGTAAATTACCTTGGGCAGTATGGCCATTTTCACGATATTGATTCTTCCTACTCATGAGCTTGGAATGTTCTTCCATTTGTTTGTAACCTCTTTTATTTCATTGAACAGTGGTTTGCAGCTCTCCCTGAAGAGGTCCTTCACATCCCTTGTAAGTTGGATTCCTAGGTATTTTATTCTCTCTGAAGCAATTGTGAATGCGAATTCACTCATGATTTGGCTCTCTGTTTGTCTGTTATTTGTGTATAAGAATGCTTGTGATTTCTGTACATTGATTTTGTATCCTGAGACTTTGCTGAAGTTGCTTATCAGCTTGAGATTTTGGGCTGAGATGATGGGGTTTTCTGGATATACAATCATGTCATCTGCAAACAGGAACAATTTGACTTCCTCCTTTCCTAATTGAATACCCTTTATTTCCTTCTCCTGCCTGATTTCCCTGGCCAGAACTTCCAACACTATGTTGAATAGGAGTGGTGAGAGAGGGAATCCCTGTCATCTGTCAGTTTTCAAAGAGAATGCTTCCAATTTTTGCCCATTCAGTATGACATTGGCTGTGGGTTTGTCATAGATAGCTCTTATTATTTTGAGATACGTCCCATCAATACCTAATTTATTGAGAGTTTTTAGCATGAAAGTTGTTGAATTTTGGCAAAGGCCTTTTCTGCGTCTGTTGAGATAATCATATGGTTTTTGTCTTTGGTTCTGTTTATATGCTGGATTACATTTATCGATTTGCGTATATTTAACCAGCCTTGCATCCCAGGGATGAAGCCCACTTGATCATGGTGGATAAGCTTTTTGATGTGCTGCTGGATTCGGTTTGCCAGTATGTTATTGAGGATTTTTGCATCAATGTTCATCAAGGATATTGGTCTAAAATTCTCTTTTTTGGTTGTCTCTCTGCCCGGCTTTGGTATCAGGATGATGCTGGCCTCATAAAATGAGTTAGGGAGGATTCCCTCTTTTTCTATTGATCGGAATAGTTTCAGAAGAAATGGTACTAGCTCCTCCTTGTACCTCTGGTAGAATTCGGCTGTGAATCCATCTGGTCCTAGGCTTTTTTGATTGGTAAGCTATTGATTATTGCCTCAATTTCAGAGCCTGTTATTGTTCTATTCAGAGATTCAACTTCTTCCTGGTTTAGTCTTGGGAGGGTGCATGTGTCGAGGAATTTATCCATTTCTTCTAGATTTTCTAGTTTATTTGCATAGAGGTGTTTAAAATATTCACTGATGGTAATTTGTATTTCTGTGGGATCGGTGGTGATATCACCTTTATCATTATTTATTGCATCTATTTGATTCTTCTCCCTTTTCTTCTTTATTAGTCTTGCTAGTGGTCTATCAATTTTGTTGATCTTTTCAAAAAACCAACTCCTGGATTCATTGATTTTTTGAAGGGTTTTTTGTGTCTCTATTTCCTTCAGTTCTGCTCTGATTTTAGTTATTTCTTGCCTTCTGCTAGCTTTTGAATGTGTTTGCTCTTGCTTTTCTAGTTCTTTTAATTGTGATATTAGGGTGCCCATATTTGATCTTTCCTGCTTTCTCTTGTGGGCATTTAGTGCTATAAATTTCCCTGTACACACGACTTTGAATGCGTCCCAGAGATTCTGGTATGTTGTGTCTTTGTTCTCGTTGGTTTCAAAGAACATCTTTATTTCTGCCTTCATTTCGTTATGTACCCAGTAGTCATTCAGGAGCAGGTTGTTCAGTTTCCATGTAGTTGAGCGGTTTTGAGTGAGTTTCTTAATCCTGAGTTCTAGTTTGATTGCACTGTGGTCTGAGAGACAGTTTGTTACGATTTCTGTTCTTTTACATTTGCTGAGGAGTGCTTTACTTCCAAGTATGTGGTCAATTTTGGAATAGGTGTGGTGTGGTGCTGAAAAGAATGTGTATTCTGTTGATTTGGGGTGGAGAGTTGTGCAGATGCCTATTAGGTCTGCTTGGTGTAGAGCTGAGTTCAATTCCTGGATATCCTTGTTAACTTTCTGTCTCATTGATCTGTCTAATATTGACAGTGGAGTGTTAAAGTCTCCCATTATTATTGTGTGGGAGTCTAAGTCTCTTTGTAGGTCTCTAAGGACTTGCTTTATGAATCTGGATGCTCCTGTATTGGGTGCATATATATTTAGGATAATTAGCTCTTCTTGTTGAATTGATCCCTTTATCATTATGTCATGGCCTTCGTTGTCTCTTTTGATCTTTGCTGGTTTAAAATCTGTTTTATCAGAGACTAGGATTGCAACCCCTGCCTTTTTTTTGCTTTCCATTTGCTTGGTAGATCTTCCTCCATCCCTTTATTTTGAGACTGTGTGTGTCTCTGCATATGAGATAGGTTTCCTGAATACAGCACATGGATTGGTCTTGAGTGTTTATCCAATTTGCCAGTCTGTGTCTTTTAATTGGAGCATTTAGCCCATTTACATTTGAGGTTAATATTGTTATGTGTGAATTTGATCCTGTCATGATGATGTTAGCTGGTTATTTTGCTCGTTAGTTGGTGCAGTTTCTTCCTAACATTGACGGTCTTTACAATTTGGCATTTTTGCAGTGACTGGTACCGGTTGTTCCTTTCCATGTTTAGCACTTCCTTCAGGAGCTCTTTTAGGGCAGACCTGACGGTGACAAAATCTCTCAGCATTTGCTTGTCTGTAAAGTATTTTATTTTTCCTTCACTTATGAAGCTTAGTTTGGCTGGATATGAAATTCTGGGTTGAAAATTCTTTTATTTAAGAATGATGAATATTGGCCCCCACTCTCTTCTGGCTTGTAAAGTTTCTGCTGATAGATCAGCTGTTAGTGTGATGGGCTTCCCTTTGTGGGTAACCTGACCTTTCTCTCTGGCTGCCCTTAACATTTTTTTCCTCATTTCAACTTTGGTGAATCTGACAATTATGTTTCTTGGAGTTGCTCTTCTCAAGGAGTATCTTTGTGGCATTCTCTGTATTTCCTGAATCTGAATGTTGGCCTGCCTTGCTAGATTGGGGAAGTTCTCCTGGATAATATCCTGCAGAGTGTTTTCCAACTTGGTTCCATTCTCCCTGTCACTTTCAGGTACACCAATCAGATGTAGATTTGGTCTTTTCACATAGTCCCATAGTTCTTGGAGGCATTGTTCATTTCTTTTTATTCTTTTTTCTCTAAACTTCTCTTCTCACTTCATTTCATTCATTTCATCTTCCATCACTGATACCCTTTCTTCTGGTTGATTGAATCAGCTACTGAGGCTTGGGCATTCATCACGTATTTCTCATGCCATGGTTTTCAGCTCCATCAGGTCCTTTAAGGGCTTCTTTGCTTTGTTTATTCTACTTAGCCATTCATCTAATTTTTTTTCAAGGTTTTTAACTTCTTTGCTATGGGTTCAAACTTTCTCCTTTAGCTTGGAGTAGTTTGATCGTCTGAAGCCTTCTTTTCTCAACTCGTCAAAGTCATTCTCCATCCAGCTTTGTTCCGTTGCTGGTGAGGAGCTGCATTCCTTTGGAGGAGGAGAGGCACTTTGATTTTTAGAGTTTCCAGTTTTTCTGTTGTTTTTTCCCCGTCTTTGTGGTTTTATCTACCTTTGGTCTTTGATGATGGTGATGTAAAGATGGGGTTTTGGCGTGGATGTCCTTTCTGTTTGTTAGTTTTCCTTCTAACAGACAGGACCCTCAGCTGCAGGTCTGTTAGAGTCTGCTGGAGGTCCACTGCTGACCCTGTTTGCCTGCGTATCAGCAGCAGTGGCTGCAGAACAGCAGATATTGCTGATCCGGAAGTGCTGCTGCTTGATCGTTCCTCTGGAAGTTTTGTCTCACAGGAGTACCTGGCCATGTTAGGTGGCAGTCCGCCCCTACTGGGGGTGCCTCCCAGTTAGGCTACTCAGGGTTCAGGGACCCAGTTGAGGAGGCAATCTGCCCATTCTCAGATCTCCAGCTGCATGCTGGGAGAATCACTACTCTCTTCAAATCTGTCAGACAGGGACATTTAAGTCTGCAGAGATTTCTGCTGCCTTTTGTTTGGCTATGCCCTGCCCCCAGAGGTGGAGTCTACACAGCCAGGCAGGCCTCCTTGAGCTGAAGTGGGCTTCACCCAGCTCGAGCTTCCAGGCTGCTTTACCTACTCAAGCCTCAGCAATGGCAGGGTACCCACCCCCAGCCTCGCTGCCACCTTGCAGTTTGATCTCAGACTTCTGTGCTAGCAATGAGTGAGGCTCTTTGTGCGTAGGACCCTCCAAGCCATGTGTGAGATATAATCTCCTGGTGTGCCGTTTGCTAAGACCATTGGAAAAGTGCAGTATTAGGGTGAGAGTGACCCAATTTTCCAGGTGCCATCTGTCACCCCTTTCTTTGACTAGGAAAGGGAATTCTCTGACCCCTTGTGCTTCCCGGGTGAGGTGATGTCTAACCTTGCTTCTGCTCATGCTCAGTGCACTGTACCCACTGTGCTGCACCCTCTGTCTGACACTCCACAGTGAGATGAACCTGGTACCTCATTTGCAAATGCAGAAATCACCCATCTTCTGTGTCGCTCATTCTGGGAGCTGTAGACTGGAGCTCTTGCTATTCGGCCATCTTGGCTCCAAACTCTGTTTTGCTTGTTTCTTTGTTTATGCAATCAGTGTTAAATTGTCCACAGTCTAAAATCATGTATTATATTATTTTCAAGCCTTATGGTAATTTCAAGTCAAAAAGTGTACCACAGATGTACAAAAAGTAAAAAGCAAGAAATTAGATTATAATTCAGGAGAAATCACCTTCACTAAAAGGAAGACAGGAAGAAAGGAAAGAAGGAAGAGAGGACAAAAATCAATCAGAAAACAAATAAAAAATTGCAGGAGTAAGTGCTTATCACTGATAACATTGAATTTAAATGAACTGTATACTCCAGTCAAAAGAAAAATAGTGGATGAATGGATAGAGAAGCAGAACAATAATCTGTGACCTACCAAAAAAACACACTTTACCTATAAAGATACATTTAGACTGAAAATAAAAGGATGGAAAAATTATTCCATGCCAATAGAGACCAACAAAAGCAGAAATAGCCATACTTATACCAGACAAAAATAGATTTCAACAAAAGACTGTAGGAAGAAATTAAAAGGTCATTATATAATAATAAAGAGATCAATTCATCAAGAGGATATAATAATTGAAAATATATATGCACCCAACACTAAAGCATCTAGATAAATGAAGCAAGTATTACAAGAGCTAAAGAAAAAGATCTCAATACAATAATGGCTGGACACTTCAACACCCCACTTTAGTCATTGGATAGACCTTCCAGACAGAAAATAAACAAAGAAACGTCAGACTTAATCTGTACTATAGAACAAATGAACCTAATAGATATTTACAGAAAATTTCTTCCAACAGCTGCAGAATACACATTTTTCTCCCCAGCACATGGGTTATTTTAAAGGATAGACCATATGTTAAGTAACAAGTCTAAAAACATTCCAAAAAATTGAAGAAATATCAAGCATTTTCTCTGACTACAGGGGATAAAACTAGAAATCAATTAAAAAAGGAATTTAAGAAACTATACAAACACATGGACATTAAACAATATGCTCCTGAATGATTAGTAGGTCAATAAAAAAGTTAAGAAGAAAATAGAAAAATTTCTTGAAACAAATGATAATGGAAACATAACATAGAAAATCCTATGCAGTATAGTAAAAGAGGTACTGTTATAAAAGGAAAATTTATAACTGTAAGTGCCTACATAAAAAACAGAAAGACTTCAAATAAATAACCTAAAAATACATCTTAATTAATTAGAATAAAAAGACCAAACCTAACCCAAAATTAGAAGAAAAGAAATAGTAAAGATTAGAGCAGAAGTAGATAAAGTTAAAATGACAAAAATAATGTAAAGAATTAATGAAAGAAAAAGTTGATTTTTTGAAAAGTGAAACAATTGACAAATATTTAAACAGGCTAACTAAAAAACAGAAAAGATACAAATTAGTAAAATCAGAGGTGAAAAAGGAGACATTAAAAGTAACACTTCAGAAAAGCAAAGGATCATTAGTGAATACTATCAGCAATTGTATGCCAACAAATTAGAAAACCTAGAGGAAATTAATTCTTAGACACACACAACTTACCAAGATTGAACTAGGAAAAAATCTAAAACCTGAACAGACCAATAACGATTAACAAAATTAAAACCTTAATAAAAAAGTCTGTAGGACCAGACTGAAAACTAGAGAAGGAAAGAACATTTCCGAACTCATTCTTTGAGGCTAGTATTACCCTTGATATCAAAACCAGACAAAGACATATTAAAAAAAGCAAACTACAGGCCCATATCTGAGAATATTGGTGCAAAAATTTGCAAAACACCTAGAAAACTGAATTCAACAATACATAAATAGGTAATTCATAATGACCAAGTGGGATTTATCCCAGGGATGCAAGGATGGTTCAATGTGCAAATCAATCGATGTGATAGATCACATAAAGAGAATGAAGGGGCCAGGCACAGTGGATCACACCTGTAACCCCAGCAATTTGGGAAGCCGAGGTGGGTGGATCACCTGGGGTCAGGAGTTTGAAACCAGTCTGGCCAGCATGGCAAAGCCCCATCTGTACTAAAAATACAAAAATTAGCCAGGCATGGTGGTGAGCACCTGTAAACCCAGCTACTCGGGAGGCTGAAGAAGGAGAATCACTTGAATCAGGGAGGCAGAGTTTGCATTGAGCTGAGATCATGCCATTGCACTCCAGCCTGGGTGACAGAGGGAGACTTCATCTCAAAAAAAAAAAACAAAAAACAAAACAAAACAAAACAAAAAACACAGACAAAATCCATATAATCATTTCAATTATGCTAAAAAAGTTTTGATAAAATTTAATATTCTTTAATAATAAAAACCCTTTGAAAACTGGGTATGGAATGAACATACCTCAACATAATAAAAGTCATACATGACAGACCCACAGCTAGTATCACACTAAGTGGGGAAAAACTAAAAGCCTTTCCTCTAAAATCTGGAAGATGACAAGAATGTCCACTTTTACCACTGTTATTCAACATAATGCTGAAAGTCCTATCTGGAGCAATCAGACAGGAGAAAGCAATAAAATGCATCCCAATTGGAAAAGAAGTCAAATTACCTTTTTTTTTTTTTTTTTTGCCAATGTTATAATGTTATATTGGAAAAAGTATAAAGACTCCTCTGATAAGGTTTGAATGTGTGTCCCCTCCCAAATCTCATATTTAAATATAATTCTCATTGTTGGAGATGGGCCTGGTGAAAGGTGATTTAACCATTGGGGTGGATTACTCATAAATGGCTTAGCACCATCCCATTTGGTGCTATCCTCATGATAGTGAGTGAGTTCCCATAAGATCTGGTTATTTAAAACTGTGTAACAACTCGTCCCTCTGTTTCTTGCTCCTGCTTTTTGCCCTGTGATGTGCAAGATTCTGCTTCAACTTCTGCCATGACTGTAAACTTCCAGAGACCTCCCCAGAAGCATATTCCAGTACTATGTCTTCTCTAAAGCCTGTAGACAATTTTCTGTAAGACAGAAAAATGAGGGAAAGTTGAGATTTTCTTAGAGATTGGTTGAATGTCTGTGACCAAAATGCTGATAGTGATCTGGACAGTGAAGGCTGGGCTAAGGAGGTCTCAGATGAAAACTAGAAACTTATTGGGACTGAAACAAAGGTCATGCACGTTGTCTTAGCAAAGTGGTTGGCTGAATTTCTGTCATGCTCTAGGGATATATAAAAGTTTGAAATTGATGATTTAAGGTTTCTGTTGGAAAAATATCTAAGCAGCAAAGCATTTGTGATATGGACTGGCTGCTTCTAACAACCTATGCTCACATGTTCTAGCAAAAAAATAAAAATAAAATAAGTAGTAACTTATACTTACACAAGAAGCATAGTGTAAAAGCTTGAAAACTTTGCAGCCTAGTCATGTGGCTGAAATATAAAAAGCTTTCATGAGAGGAACTCAAGCTGGATATGGGTCAACCACTTGTTAGAGATATTTGTATAACCTAAAAAAAAGCAAGTGTTGATAGCCAAGACAATGGGAAAGAGGAATTGAAGGCATTTTAGAAATCTAAAAGGCAGCCCCCCCATCACAGGCCCTGAGGCCTAAAAGAAGAGAATAGTTTCTGGGATCAGGTCCAGGAACTGCTGCCTTGGGTAGCTTTGGAACAAGGCTCCTGCATCCTGGCCACTGCTTCAGCTCCAGGTGTAGGTCAAATTGACCCAGTTACAACTCCAGTCACTGCTTCAGAGGGTGCAAGCCATAACCTTGGTAGCTTCCATGTGGTGTTAGGCCTGTGGGTTTCCCAAATGTAAGTAGTTGAGACTTGGGAGCCTCCACCTTTATTTCACAGGATGTATGAAAAAGCCAGGATGTGCAGGCAGAAGCATGCTGCAGGGGTGGAGCCCTCATGGAGATCCTCTACTAAAACAATGGAGAAAAGAAATGTAGGGTGACAGTCCCCAGGCCGTCTCCCCACTGGGTCATGGCCTAGTAGATCTGTGAGGAGAGGATCACTGTCCTCCAGACCCCAGAATGGTAGATCTAGCTACAGCCTGCACCTTGCACCTTGAAAAGCCAGAGGCACAGAATGCCAGCCCATGAGAGCAGCTGTGGGGGCTGAACCATGCAAAGTCACAAGGTAGAATCTTCCCAAGGCATTGGCGTGCCCTGGAAATGGAACACAGGGTGAAAAATAATTATTTTAGAGCCTTACAATTGAATAACTGCCCTTCTGGGTTTCAGAATTTCATGGGTCCTGTGGCCCCTTTCTTTTGGCTGATTTCTTCCTTTTAGAATAGGAGTATTTACCCAATGCCTCTGCCTCATTTGTATCTTGGAAGAATCTAACTTGTTTTTTATTTTACAGGCTTATAGGAGGAAGAAATTAGCTTTGTCTTAGATGAGACTTTTGACTTTTGAGTTAAGACTGAAACTAGTTAAGATTTTGGGGATTATTGGGAAGTCATGATTGTATTCTGAAATATGAGAAGGATATGAGATTTGGAATGGCCAGGGGCAAAATGATACAGTTTGGATGTGTATTCCCACCAAAATCTTATATTGAAATATAATCCTCAATGTTGGAAGTGGGCCTAGAGGGGAGGTGATTGAATCATGAGGGCAAGATTTCCATGAACAGTTTGGCATCATTTCCTTTGGTGCCATTCCCACAATAGTAAGTTTTTATCAGAGCTGGTTATCTACAAGTGTGTGTAGCACTTCCCCCCTGCCCTCGCACTTACCATGTGATGTGCAAGCACTGGATTTATTTTTCACCTTGTCAATTGTCAGAGGCTTCCCCAGAAGCAGAAGCCAGTGCTATGCTTTCTGTACAGCCTGTAGAACCATGAACCAATTAAACCTATTTTCTTTATAAATTAACCAGTCACTGATTACTTTTTATAGCAATATGAGAATGGCCTAATACATCCACCAAAAACTATTAGAGGTAATAACTTGAGTCAATTTGCAGAATACAAAATCAACATATACAAATCAGTAGGGTTTCTTTACGCCAACAGTCAACAAACTGAAAAAGAATTCAAAAATGTAATACTATTTGCAGTAGCCACAAATAAAACAAAATTTGTAGGAATTTACCAAAGAAATAAAAGTTCTCAACAATTAAAACCGTAAAACACTGATAAAAGAAATGAAAAAGGACCCAAAAGTTGGAAAGATATTTTTATGTTCATAGATTGGAAGAATCAGTATTTTTTAAAAAACGTCCATACAATCCATAGGAATCTATTCATTTCATTCCATCTCTATCAAAATAACAGGCCAGGGGCAGTGGCTCATGCCTGTAGTCTCAGCACTTTGGGAGGCCGAATTTTGTGGATCACGAGGTAAGGAGTTCAAGACCAGCCTGGCCAACTTGGTGAAACCCCACCACTACTAAAAATACAAAAAAATTAGCCAGGCATGGTGGCAGGTGTCTGTAATCCCAGCTATTCAGGAGGCTGAGGCAAAAAGTTGCTTGAACCCAGGAGGTGGAGGTTACAGTGTGCCGAGATCACATCACTGCACTCCAGTCTAGGTGACAGAGCAAGACGCCATCTAAAAAAAAAAAAAGAAGAAGAAGAAGAAGAAGACATTCCTCACAGATATAGAAAAAAAATTCTGAAATTTATATGGAAACATCACAAAGTCAAAGCTATGCTGAGTATATAAAACAAAACTGGAGGAATTCCATTACCTGGTTTTAAATTATACTAATTAAAACAACATGACACTAGCATAAAAACAGACATAAAGACAGATAGAACGAAATAGAGACCTTAGAAAGATACTCATACAGTTAAATTAATTTTCAACAAAAGTGCCAAGAACATACAATAAAAAATAAGACAGTTTTTGTAATAAATAGGGCTGGTAAAACTGGCATTCTGTGTGAGGGACAAACATTCAGACCCTCATAGCAGTGTTCTGGAATCCTATGTGAGGGACAAACCTTCAGACCACAGCAGGAGTGTTCTGGAATCCCCTGTGAGGAACAAACATTCAGACCCTCGTAGCAGTGTTCTGAAATCCTATGTGACAAACGTTTAGAACCCAGCAACAGTGTTCTGGAGTCCTATGCAAGGGACAAACATTCAGACCCTCATAGCAGTGTTCTGGAATCCTATGGGAGGGACAGCTAAATTAATTTTCAATAAAAGTGTCAAGAGCATACAATAAAAAATGAGACAGCTTTTGTAATAAATAGGGCTGGGAAAACTGGCAAGCCATAGGCAGAAGAATAAAACTAGAACTCTATTTCTTGCCACTTACAAAAATCAAATTAAAATGAATTAAAGACTTAAACCTAACGCCTCAAACCATCAAACTTTTAGAAAAAAACATTGGGGAAACTCTTTAGGTCATTGATTTGGGCAAAAATTCCTTAAATAATGCCCCAGAAGCACAGACAACCAAAACAAACATGGACAAATAGGATTACAGAAAGTCAGAAAGCCTTTTTAAAGTGAAGGAAACAAGAAACAAAGTGAAGAGAAAATCCACAGAATGGGAGAAAATATTTGTAAATTATCCATCTGAAAAGCAATTAATAGCTACATGATATGGTTAGGATTTGTGTCCCCACCCAAATCTCATATTGAATTGTAATCCCCAGATGTTGAGGGAGAGACTTGGTAGAAGGTGATTGGATCATGGGGGTGGTTTCCCCCATGCTGTTCTTCTGATAATGAGTGATTTCTCATGAGATCTGATGGTTTTATAAAGGACTCTTCCCCCTTTGCTTCACATACATGCTCTCTCGCCTGCTGTCATGTAAGAGGTGCCTGCTTCCCCATCTGCCATTATTGTAAGTTTCCTGAGGCCTCCCTGGCCATGTGGAACTGTGATTTAATTAAACCCATTTCCTTTATAAATTACCCAGTCTTGCCAGGTGTGGTGGCTCATGCCTGTAATCTCACCATTTTGGGAGGCTGAGGCAGGTGGATCACGAGGCCAGGAGTTCAAGACCAGCCTGGCCATGATGGTGAAACCCCGTCTCCACTAAAAATATAAAAATTAGCCAGGCATGGTGGCAGGTGTCTGTAATCCCAGCTACTCAGGAGGCTGAGGCAGAGAATTGCTTGAGTCAGGAGGTAGAGGTTGCAGTGAGCCAAGATTGCACCACTGCACTTCAGCCTGGGCAACAGATCAAGACTTCATCTCAGTAAATAAATAGATAACACAGTCTCAGGTAATTTTTTATAGCAGTGCAGGAACAGACTAATACACTACAATATATTGAGTTCAAAAAATTCTACAGAAAAATGTAATAACCCAAATAAAGAGTGGACAAAAAATTTAAATAGACATTTATGAAAAGAAGACATACAAATGTCAAACAGACAAATGAAAAGGTGCTCCACATTACTGATCATCATAGAAATGCAAATCAAACCCAAAATGAGATATCATTTCACCCCAGTTAAGGTGGCTTTTATCCAGAAGTCAGTGAAAAACAAATGCTGGTGATCATGTGGAGTGAAGGGAACCCTTGTACACTGCTGTTGGGAGCACATTTAAGGATAGTTTGGATGTTCCCAATATAATTAAAAATAGAGCTACTGTATGGTCCAGGAATCCCACTGCTCAGTATATGCCTACAAGAAATAAAATTGGTAAATCAAAGACCTATTGGCACTCTCATGTTTGCTACAGCAGGGTTTATAATAGCCAAGATTTGGAAGGAACCTAAATGTCCATCAACAGATGACTGGATAGAGAAAACGTGGTACATATACGCAATGGAATACTATTCAGCTGTAAGAAAGAATGAGAGCCTGTCATTTGCAATAACATAAATGGAACCGAAAGTCTTTATGTTAAGTGAAATGCCAGGCACAGAAATACAAATGTCACATCGTCTCACTTATTTGTGGGTGCTAAAATTCAAAACAATTGGTGTCATAGAGATAGAGAGTATAAGGATGGTTACCAGAGGCTGGGAAGGGCAAGGAGGGAACAAGGGGATAGTGGGGATGCTAAATGTGTAAAAAAACAATTGTTAGAAAGAATGAATAAGACAGCATTTGATAGCACAACAGGGTGATTATAGTCAAAAATAATTTAATTCCACATTTAAAAAAACTAAAAGAGTATAATTGGATTGTTTATAACACAAGCTATAAATGCTTGAGGGGACAGATACCACGTTTTTTATTATGTATTACTCATTGCATGACTGCATCAAAGTATGTCATGTACCCCCATAAATATATACACCAACTATGTACCCACAAAATAAATTAAAAATTGAAATTAAAATTAAAATTAAAACCAAAGGGAGGAGAGTATAATGAGGCATGTGTGACCCATGGCTTGAACTAGCTTTTCAGGTTAACTTTGGAATGTCCTTATCCAAGAAGAGAGGTCCATTTAGTCAACAGGAGTTTAGAAATTTATTTTTAGTTTATAAATGGAAAAAAGAAGGATTTTTAATCCTGAGCCATAGTTCTCAGTCAATCAATCCCTGCAGGGAGCCCTGTTCTTTACTCTGGAGATAAACACTAGTTTTCTTTTCCATGGAATAACACCACATTTCAAAATGAGGGGAAACATCTTGCAACTAAGAGGTACAGCCTTATTAAATTTGATTTAGTTTCCATTGTAATTAATTTAATCACATGTGTTCTAGAGTTTGTCCTCAGTCTTCCCCTAGTTTAGGCCCATAATCTGTTGAATTTGCTCAGCTCCCTGCTCAACAGCAGGAAGTCAGAATTATTTAAAAACCTCATTGTTGCTGGGAGTGGTGGCTCTTGCCTGTAATCCCAGCAATTTGGGAGGCCAAGGTGGGCAGATCGCTTGTTGTCAGGGGTTCGAGACCAGCCTGGCCAACAGAGTGAAACCCCATCTCTATTAAAGATACAAATATTAGCTGGGTGTGGTGATTCATGCCTGTAATCCCAGCTACTTGGGAGGCTGAGGCAGGAGAATTGCTTGAATCCGGGAGGCGCAAGTTTCAGTGAGCCAAGATAGTGCACTGCACTGCAGCCTGGGCAACAGAGCAAGACTCTGCCTCAAAATAATAATAATAATAATAATAATAATAATAATAATAATAATAATAATAAAAAATAAGTAAAAATAAAAATTTCATTGTGTTTTAAACAAAATTTCTTTTGAATATCAACTATATCAACTTGTATATTAACTATAATCATTTTGTTTACTTTATATCCAATCTTGAGAAATCTTTGAGGACTAATTTCACTCTTTACTGCCATTTTGGTAAACATACCAAATGCCATCAAACAAAATGCACAAAATTCCTGAGAAATACATTTTCTCCTTGAGGAGTAGACTTGCTGTGTTAGAGGAACTCATGGTTACCTAGCTTCTAGTTTAATAAACATGACTAGAATATTCTTTTTTTTTGTCTTTCTTTTGTATTTTTATTTTTTATTATTGCACACAATTCACGCAGAGATTAAGGAGACTTTTTTTTTTTTTAAGAAAAGGGGTCTCACTATGTTGCTCAGGCTAGAACTCCTGGGCTCAAGTGATCCTCCTGCCTCAGCCTCCCAAAGTGCTGGGATTACAGGTGGCAGCCACCACGCCCAGCCCAGTCTTTGCCTTTCTTAATGCTGATTTTTTAAAGAATCCAGGTAGGCCATTTTATAGAATGTCCCTTGCATTTAGGCGCATCTGATGTTTCCTCATGATTAGATCTGGGTTACATGTGTGAGACAGGAAAACCACAGAAGGGATGCCAGAGACTCAGTGCTTTGGCTGAAGGAAGCCCATGCTCTCATGCTTCCTGAAGTTCACGTGCTCAGAGCTCATATGCTCTGAGTGCACTCCACCAAGGCTGGAGTGCAGTGGCACAAACGAGACTCACTGCAGTCTTGGCCTTCTGAGCACAAGCGATCCTCTCACCTCAGCCTCCTGAATAGCTGGGATTACAGGTGCACACCAACATGCCCGGCTAATTTTTTTTTTAAATTATTATTATTTTTTTTATTGATCATTCTTGGGTGTTTCTCGCAGAGGGGGATTTGGCAGGGTCACAGGACAATAGTGGAGGGAAGGTCAGCAGATAAACAAGTGAACAAAGGTCTCTGGTTCTCCTAGGCAGAGGACCCCGCGGCCTTCCGCAGTGTTTGGGTCACTGGGTACTTGAGATTAAGGAGTGGTGATGACTCTTAACGAGCATGCTGCCTTCAAGCATCTGTTTAACAAAGCACACCTTGCACCGCCCTTAATCCATTTAACACTGAGTGGACACAGCACATGTTTCAGAGAGCACAGGGTTGGGGGTAAGGTCACAGATCAACAGTATCCCAAGGCAGAAGAATTTTTCTTAGTACAGAACAAAATGAAAAGTCTCCCATGTCTACTTCTTTCTACACAGACACGGCAACCATCAGATTTCTCAATCTTTTCCCCACCTTTCCCCCCTTTCTATTCCACAAAACCGCCATTGTCATCATGGCCGTTCTCAATGAGCTGTTGGGTACACCTCTCAGACGGGGTGGTGGCCGGGCAGAGGGGCTCCTCACTTCCCAGTAGGGGCAACTGGGCAGAGGCGCCCCTCACCTCCCGGATGGGGTGGCTGGCCAGGTGGGGGGCTGACCCCCCCACCTCCCTCCCGGGCGGGGTGGCTGGCCGGGCGGGGGGCTGACCCCCCACCTCCCTCCCGGACGGGGCGGCTGGCCGGGCGGGGCGCTGACCCCCCCACCTCCCTCCCGGACGGGGCGGCTGGCCTGGCAGGGGCTGACCCCCACCTCCCTCCCGGACGGGGTGGCTGCTGGGCGGAGATGCTCCTCACTTCCCAGACGGGGTGGCTGCCGGGCAGAGGGTCTCCTCACTTCTCAGATGGGGCGGCTGCCAGGCGGAGGGTCTCCTCACTTCTCAGACAGGGTGGCTGGGCAGAGACGCTCCTCACCTCCCAGACGGGGTCACGGCTGGGCAGAGGCGCTCCTCAAATCCCAGACGGGGCGGCGGGGCAGAGACGCTCCCCACATCTCAGACGATGGGCGGCCGCGCAGAGACGCTCCTCACTTCCTAGATGGGATGGCGGCCGGGAAGAGACGCTCTTCACTTTCCAGACAGGGCAGCCAGGCAGAGGGGCTCCTCACATCCCAGACGATGGGCGGCCAGGCAGAGATGCTCCTCACTTCCCAGACAGGGTGGCGGCCAGGCAAAGGCTGCACTCTAGGCACTTTGGGAGGCCAAGGCAGGCAGCTGGGAGGTGGAGGTTGTAGCGAGCTGAGATCATGCCACTGCACTCCAGCCTGGGCACCATTGAGCACTGAGTGAACCAGACTCCGTCTGCAATCCTGGCACCTCAGGAGGCCGAGGCTGGCGGATCACTCGCGGTTAGGAGCTGGAGACCAGCCCGGCCAACACAGCGAAACCCCGTCTCCACCAAAAAAATATGAAAACCAGTCAGGCGTGGCGGCGCGTGCCTGCAATCACAGGCAGTCAGCAGGCTGAGGCAGGAGAATCAGGCAGGGAGTTGCAGTGAGCCGAGAAGGCAGCAGTACAGTCCAGCTTCCGCTCGGCATCAGAGGGAGACCGTGGAAAGAGAGGGAGAGGGAGACCGTGGGGAGAGAGGGAGAGGGAGAGGGAGAGGAGGGAGAGGGAGAGGGAGAGGGAGAGGGAGAGGGAGAGGGAGAGGGAGAGGGAGAGGGAGAGCGAATATTCTATCTTAATATGAGTAGATAGGTACTCACAAGGCATCTAGAAGGTTAATGTTCATGGTCTGAAAATAGTCACATTTTTTAACTGGCCACAAATTACAATTGCAGAATATGTGTGATCATACAAGACATCTTCCACCAAGCCTGAAAAATGTATAAATGTCCTAGGAATGCAGCATTTTTTTGTAAGGATATTATTAATGAGCTAGCTTAGGTCAATGGGTTAATGGTTATTGTTAAAATCAATAGCCCCGACTTTAGTGACTACATCTGCACCTTCCAAGTTTAATTATAACTCTTTCTCTTTATAGTTACTTATAAGTAGAGATACTAACAAAAGACAATGCATTCCTGCTCTTGTTTTCTGAGGATGTCCAACTCTGTAATGGAATAATTTCTAATAAACTTGCTTCTTTCACTGTGCTCTCTGACTCACCTCAAATTTTTTCCTGCACAAGATCTAAGAATCCTAATTTGTGGTCTGTATCAGGACCCTCTTTTCCAGCAACATCTTTCAGCAACACCGTGAACGGACACCAAGACAAGACCCCCACTCCAAGGAAAACAATCTACACAGAATCAGTCAGCTGACACCTGGCAAGTGTGCTGTCTTTTAGAATCGTGAAGCCATTCTGGTGGGCAAGAATGATTATCCACTATTATCATACTCAGATTAGAGGCCAAGCCCACAGGGTTAGAGGCCCTGGGGTATATTGAGAAGAATGGATTTGGCTAAATAAGATGTTTGCCACTTTCTCTTTTTGGACTGTCCACCTTGTGCTCTCTGTCCCTTACCTGAGTGCTCTACATCTTGTCACCATTCTGCTCACCGCCTCTGTTTTGTAATAGCCTGGAGGCTGCCCCAGGACAGAGGCCCCAAACAGTTTAGTTTTACTTTCTTCAGCGATCCTCTGACTCTTAACTGACTGCTTGTTTAATTTGCCACTGGTCCAAGTGACACTGAAAAAAAGAATTGTCTCGGGACCTAGTATTTTTGTACCTTAATTATCAGAAAAGATCAGCAGTAACCTCGCCATCATTATGACTAGAAGTTGAAATGTGGTATTTAAGAGCTCTACATGATAAGATCAGATATGCCTGTTTAGTGACAGCCTCTTTTATGACAACCCTCTGCAAACAATTACCCTCAAGATGGAGAACATGAGACTTTTTCTTAACAGTTTTCTCTCATTTCTTAACCATAACGCCATCTTTGATCAGCTGGTATAGGGCAGCTGGACCCTACTTTCTAAACCCAGCATGTCACTTTTTTCCTGAGAGAGTTTTGTCATTTTTGTCATAGCAGTGTGAAAATGGACTAATACATTACAATATACAAGTTACAGCCTTCCCATTTCCCCTGTTTGATCTGACTCCTATTTTGCAGCTTAATTTGTTTTATAGAAGAGAAACTAAGAGAGAGGAAATACATTATATACAGGCTTCTCTGATGCTTGGTCAGGATAAAAAATTAAAATGGACTTCTATATGTTTGATGCAGGAAAAGATAAAATAGGGACGGCATGTAATTGATTACCCTTTTAATACAAGTGCCTCTTAATATTAGGCTTTTCTTAGCTGGGGCTGAACTCCCCCTTCCAGTCCAAGCACCCCATAAGAACACAGTTAGACTCCTTCCAGTTCTAGTGAGGTGTGCAACATGTTATTAATTTCTTCTAGTTTTCCAGGGTTATCTAGTGTCCGGTCATCATCTTCTCCCTGCCCTTCGAGTCCTGTCTTACGTACATACCCCACTCTCGAAACACCCTAGCTTCACCAGAACAACATGCAGTGGGGCCTCTTATCAGCTGGCAAAGTTGAATGTTTGCCCTCTCTGGGAAGTGACAGATGATAATAGGGACAGTATATTGAAGAAGTGGCCTGTCCCTCCACACCTGTGGGCGTTTCTCGTCAGGTGGAACGAGATACTTGTGAAAAGAGACGCAGAGACAAAGTATAGAGAAAAAGTGGGCCCAGGGGACCAGCGCTCAGCATACGGAGGACCCACGCCGGCACCAGTCTCTGACTTTCCTTAGTATTTATTGATCATTATCGGGCATTTCTCTGAGAGGGGGATGTGGTAGGACAATAGGGTAATAGTGGAGAGAGGGTCAGCAAGAAAACATGTGAACAAATGTCTCTGCATCATAAACAAGGTAAAGAAAAAAGTGCTGTGCTTTTGATGTGCATATACATAAACATCTCAGTGCCTTAAAGAGCAGTATTGCCTCCAGCATGTCTCACCTCCAGCCGTAAGGCAGTTTTCTCCTATCTCAGTAGATGGAATATACAATCGGGTTTTACACTGAGACAGTCCATTGCCCAGGGACGAGCAAGAGACAGATGGCTTTGTCTTATCTCAACTGCAAAAAGGCCTTCCTCTTTTATTAATCCTCCTCAGCACAGACCCTTTACAGGTGTCGGGCTGGCGGATGGTCGTGTCCTTCCCTTCCCATGAGGCCATATTTCAGACTATCACATGGGGAGAAACCTTGGACAATACCTGGCTTTCCTAGGCAGTGGTCCCTGTGGCCTTCCGCAGTGTTTTGTGTCCCTGGGTACTTGAGAATAGGGTTTAACAAGCATGCTGCCTTAAAGCATTTGTTTAACAAAGCACATCCTGCATATCCCTAAATCCATTAAACCTTGGGTCGACACAGCACATGTTTCTGTGAGCACAGGGTTGGGGCTAGGGTTACAGATTAACAGCCTCTCAAGGCAGAAGAATTTTTCTTAGTACAGAACAAAATGGAGTGTCTTATGTCGACTTCTTTCTACATAGACACAGTAACAGTCTGATCTCTCTTTCTTTTCCCCACACTATATAGGTACGTGTACACTTTTCTATATCTGAATTAGCCATATGCAAGGAAAAACTAAAACAGTTTTCAGAGGTTCCGGGAAAATTCATAGACAAATTTAAAAGGCTAACCTTGATGTATGATCTGACCAGGTAGGATTTGCATATATTTATGTTTACCTGCTGCATGGTAGAAAAGCAGTGCATGATGGGAGTGGCTACAGCACATGCTAATAGGGTGGCATCCTGCAACCAGGGGCATGACACCTCTCAAGTAGGAGGCACAGCAGTGCCTGACTAGGACCCAAAAGAGGATTAGAATCTAGAAAAGACAAATAAGTTAGGAAGAAAGTAGGATATAGAGAGAAAAAATTTTGATCATTTGACTCCGTGTAGGAATAAAAAAAAAGTGTGATACAGCTTTTTAATTTTTATAAAGTCTGGAAAATTACTCAGGGAATAGATGAAAATCTAGCCTTATTACAAGGGTGGATAATTTAGATCTTGAGGAAATACACTAACACTGACCCTGACTCCAAGAAGGGACAGGCATTGCTAGGAGTTTAATTTATAGCGCGGTCTCCTTCTGATATCTGCAGGAAGCTGCCAAAAGCAGCCTTAGGCTTCCAGACTCCCACGGATCAGATTTTAGACTTGGATTTTGCAGTTTTCCATCACAGGAATTGGGCAGAGAAAACATAAAATAAAGCAAATCTTCCAAGAGGCCCAGCTTCTAGCTGCAGCCTTGTGCTCTCCACCACTTCAGAGGCAGCCCCTTAACCCCTGGCCTTCACAGAGGAAGTGAGAAGGTGAAAGTCCCAGTCTGTGCCTCTCGGCCACCGTGCCTTGGATATAAATCAATGTGCCTTCTGTAGGAAGGTCAGCCACTGCCGAAGGAAATGCACTGTGCTTCCAAGGGAGCCATCATCAGAGCCCAGCAGACTCAAAAGTGGCAGGGCCTGATACTTCCTACCTCCGCTCCCATTGGACTATTAGCTATCGAGAGATGGAGGAGCCTCAGGTGACTCTTGAAGTAGTAGGTAGGAGTATTAACTTCGTGTTAGGTGTGGGAGCAGATTACTCTGTCCTGATTCAATACAATGGGCTCCTGTCTTCTCATGATGGACAAGCCCCCAAACACTCCTTTTTGTATCTTCTAAGTTGTCCTCCAGAGCCTCTAGCTATCTCACCTGCCTTTTTAGTACTGTCTGATTGCCTGACCTCTTACTGGGGAGAGGTTTATTGACTCAGGAGACCAAGTCATGGTCACCTTCACAGATCATAAAGCATAGAAAGTGTTACTTTTGTTCCTGACCCCTCAGGGGAAAAAAGAAGTTAAGAATGAGCTGTCACATTTACCAGCTGAGATGTTGTCTCAAGGAAATCTTGAGGTTTGGGCCACACAGGCTCTGAGAAACGCACTAAACACCTCCCCCATTCAAATCCAACTTCAGCCTAGTGCTCCTCGCCCTCAGAAGAGACAATACATTTTAAGGCAAGAAGCATGAGGGGAAATTCAACCCCTTATTGCCAAATTCTTGCCATATGAGTTATTAAGGCCATGAGAGTCTCCTTACAATACTCGCATGTTACCAGATTAAAAGCCTAATGGCAAGTACAGATCTGTCAGAACCCTAAGAGCATTAAGAAATGCAGTTGTCTTCGTACACTTCATTGTCCCAAATACTTACCAAGTCCCAGGGGATGCAAGCTGGTTTACATTCTTATATCTGAAAGATGCACTTTTCTGGATCTCAATGCATCCAGATTCATAATATGTTTGCCTTTGAATAGAATGATCCAGATACGCATTCAGCCTCAAAACTAACCTGGACAGTCATCTCTGAAGGGTTCTGGGGTAGACCCTGCTTATTTGAAAATGCTCTAGTTAAGGACTTAACAAATCTACAATTGGAAAGGGACACAATTATTCAGTACGTAGGTGACTTGCTTATTGCTAACCCAACTAAAGAAGACTCATAATAATACTGTTAAGTTGGTAAATTTCCTGGGAACTTGCAGATATAGGGCATCACCACACAGGGCTCAGATTTTGACTGAAAGACTTAAATATTTGGAATCTGTCTTAACCTCTGGAACTGATCAACATCCCTAGAAGACAAAAAAGTTATTTTAGTCACCCAATGGTCCCTGTCCAAATAATGACTGTGGGCTTTTTTAGGAGATGGCTGGGTACTGCTGCTTATGGGTGCCCAGATTTGGGCATGTAGCCAAGCCTTTATATGATACACTAAAGGGAAAGATTTAGAGCTCCTAGAATGTAATGAGAACTGCAAGCAAACCTTCAATACTCTCAAGGAGAAATTGGGCTCTGCTGCAGAAGTGAGAGTCTCCAAGTTGGATGAACCATTTTTTCTTTATGTGACCAAAAAGCAAGGCATAGGTCTTGGGTAATCTTGTCCCAAAACTGGGGGACATTCCAAGGCCAGTAGCCTAATTTTCTAAGCAGATAGACCAGGTGGCCTCAGGGTGGCCTTGATGTCTTAGAGCTATTGCTGCTACCAGTTTTTTAGCAGGCAAAGCTAATAAACTAACATTAGAACAGCACCTACAGGTTTTTGACCCCACACCAAAGGAAGGTGGTCCTAGAAGCTAAAGGGCAGCAGTGGATAATAGGAGAACATTTATGAAAGTATCAGGCCTTATTGCTGGACCCTCCAGACATAATCCTTAAAGCCTGCCAAACCATAAACCCAGCTGCTTATCTGCCAGAGTCCACAGGTACTTCTAGCCTTTCTGGCATACAGGTTGTATTAGTCTGTTCTCATGATGCTAATAAAGACATATCTGAGGCTGGGTAATTTATAAAGAAAAGAGGTTTAATTGACTCACATTTCCACGTGGTCAGGGATTCCTCACACTCATTGCAGAAGGCAAATGAGGAACAAAGTCACATCTCTTACATGGCAGCAGGCAAAAGGGCTTGTGTAGGGAAACTCCCCTTTATAAAACCATCAGCTGTAATCCCAGCACTTTGGGAGGCCAAGGCAGTGGATGAGCTGAGGTGAGGAGATCGAGGACACCCTGGCCAACATGGTGAAACCCCATCTATACTAAAAGTACAAAAATTAGACAGGCATGGTGGTAGGCACCTGTAATCCCAGCTACTCAGGAGGCTGAGACAGGAGAATCTCTTGAACCCAGGAGTCAGAGTTTGCAGTGAGCCAAGATCACGAAAATGCACTCCAGCCTGAGCAACAGAGCAAGACTATGTCTCAAAAATAAACAAATAAACCATTAGATCACATGAGGCTTATTCACTGTCACAAGAACAGCATGAGAAAGACCCATCCCCCGATTCGATTACCTCTCACTGGGTCCCTCCCACGATATATAGGAATTATGGGAGCTAAAATTCAAGATAAGATTTGACGGGGGACAGAGCCGAAGCATGTCATAGGTTATGAAACAAATTGATTCTAGCAGGCTAGACTTAAGAGAGATGAGCCCCTTGACCATCCCAAGGAAGAGTGGTTAACAGATGCAAGTTGTTTTATGCATCAGGAGAACAGGAGGGCTAGGTATGCTATTAGTAGTCAGCACAAGAGAATCAAGGCACAAGCCTTGCTGGCTTCGACCTCAGCCCAAAAAGCTGAGTTAATTGAACTTAGCCCCTGCAGTTGGGAAAGGATTTAAAAGTTAACATTTACACTGATTTCAAGTATGATTTTTTAGTGCTTCATGCTTATGCTGCAATTTGGAATGGGTAGGGACTGCTGACCCCCAAGAGTTTTCCATACAACATCATTCAGATTTTGAGCTTGTTAGAATGCTGCTCTGCTGCCAAAAAGTGACTATAATTAATTCCAGAGGACATCAAAAGAGACACTGGCCATGTAAAAGGAAATGCCCTTGTAGATGCCAAGCCAAGGCCCCTGCACTGAAAGGGCCAATGAAGCTTATGGACGTGCTGGTCAGCATACATAGAACTGGGCCGGAATACTCTGAAGAAGAATAAAAATGGGCCAGGGATTGCATTTCAGTCCAGGGCCCCTCTGGCTGGCTGAATGATGGTAATAAATTACTAATGCCAAGTACCAATCATAGGAATATAATTCAGCACTTTAATGATTCTTTTCACCCTAGAAGGGATTCCTGGCTTCTGTTAATGTCTCATTTGTTTATAGGGGTAAATCTTTTTGAGACAGGAAAGCAGGTGACTCAGCCCTGTGAGCTCTGTGCCTGACATGACCCAAACCAACAGCAATTTTCTCCTTCTCCAGGTAAACCTGTCCAAAAAAAAAAATTGAGGAACCTACCCAGGTGAGAGCTAGCAACTCTAATTTACTCAGATACCTTTCTGCAGGAGATTCAAATATTTGCTAATGCCTACTGATACCTTCGCTGGTTAGATCGAGGCATTCCGCACCCCATCTGAAAAATGTTTACCAGAAGAAATAACTCCTCAGTTTGGGTAATCTAAAAGCCTGCAAAGTGGCAATGGCCCGTCTTTCACAGCAGGTGTATCCCAACACCTATCCTCAGCTTTAAGAATCCAATATTACCTTCACTCTGTGTGCAGACCGCAATCCTCTGGAAAGGTGAAAGGGCTAATCCTACTCTAAAGAAGACTCTAGCTAAATCAGACGCCTGACTATCTCCAACACCCATAGCTTACAGCGGGTTTGAACTGCTCCAAAGTAAAACTTATAATAAAATCCTGTTGAGTTAACATTCGGAAGACCTTTCCTAAGCACAGATCTCCTAATAGATGAAAAGACTCATCAATTACAAAAATATGTCGTCAATCTAGGACAGGTGCAAAGGCACTCTGTGAATATGGAAACAAGAGTCTTCCCCTCCCACATGGGAGGAAAATTCAGTTTCAGCTCAGTTGGGGATTTAGTCTTACTAACGATGTGGGAGGAAGTTCTCCAGCTGACCAGCTTTCCCCAACGTGGAAAGGACCACAGCAAGGGCACCTGAGCTCTCCAACAGACGTTCGATCCAAGGGATTCACAGGTGGGTACACCTGTGTGGAAGTAAAGCTGTTGCTTATTCTGGGAGCCGAATCCAAGGCTGAGGGAGGTGGGCGACGGGATATTTCAGCGTTGGCGGAGGGCGGACTGGGTAGCTGAGCGTCTGCTCCTCCTTCTCGCGTTTCTCCTGCCGCTCTAATCCCGCCTTGGCCATGAGGAAAATAGTGCTCACGCAGGCTGGGCAGTGTGGGAACCAGATCGGCGCCAAGGTTGTATTTGACTCCATAAAAATTAAAATTTTGTATGAGAGAAAAATGTCTCAAAGTCAAAAGTCAACAGACTGGGGAAATAGATCTGCAACATAAATGACAGACAAAAAGGTAATTTGGGATATAGATAGATAGATAGATAGATAGATGATAGATAGATAGATGATAGATAGATAGATAGATGTAAATATCCGTTTTTAACACCATTTAAAAAAATACCGTCCTTTCCCCATTGAACAGAGTTGACGCCCTTGTTAAAAATCATGACCATATTTTTTGGTTCTTTGTTTCTATTGCATTGGTCTTTGTGTCTGTCTCTATGCTGGTACAGCATTATTTTGGGTACTGAAGTTTGAAACCAGGAGGTGTTAGTCCTCTTACTTTGTTAGTTTTTAAGATTGATTTGGCTGCTTGGGGTTTTCTGAGATTTCATCTGAATTTTAGAATAGGTTTTTCTGTTTTTACATATATTGGAATTTTTACAGTGATATTATTGAATCTGTAGATGACCATAGATAACAATGGCACCTTGACAAGATTTTATCTTCCAGTCCATAAACACATGATGTCTTTTCATTTATTTGTGTCATCTTTAATACTTTCATGCCATGTTTATAGTTTTTGCTGTACAGGTTTTTCATTTCCTTGGTTAAGTGGGTTTCTAAGTGTTTTATTCTTTTGATGCTATCATACATGATACTGTTGTCTTGATTTCTTCTTCAGATAATTTATTGTTATTGTAGAAATACAACTGATTTTTGTGTATTGATTTTTGTATCCTGCAGTTTGCTGAATTTTATTTATTGCATCTGACAGTTTATTACACAGAAACTAAAACATTTTTAATATATAAGGTTATGTCATCTGCAAACAGATACTTTTACTTTCTAAAAAATTGGAATATCTTTAATTCTTTTACTCACCTTATTGTTTTAACTAACCAGAACCTTCAGTACTATATTAAATAGAAATAGTAAAAGCACACATCCTTCTTTTTGCTCTTAGGGTAAAAGCTTTCAGTCTTTCACCATGTTAGCTGTGTTTTTTTGTTTTGTTTTGTTTTTTTGTATAGCATTATGTTAAGGTGTTTTATTTCTTTTTATAGTTTATTAAGTATATTTTATCATGAATGTGGGTTAAATTTTGACAAATGCTTTCTCTTCTTTGATTAAGATGATCACATGAGGGTTTTTTCCTTCTTTATGTTAATGTGATATTGTGCTGATTTTCATGTGCTGGAACATACTTTTATTTCAGGAGTCAATTATACTCATTCATAGTGTATAATCCTTTTAATGTACTGCTAAGTTTGAGTTGCTGGTATTTTGTTGAGGATTTTTGCATCAGCATTTATAAGGGATGTTTGTTTGTAGTTTTCTTATGGTGCCTTTGTCTGGCTTGGTGTCAGGGTAATACTGGCCTCATAGAATAAGTTAGAAAAAATTACCTCCTCTTCAAAGTTTTGAAAAAGTTTGAGAAAAAGTGATGTTAATTCTGCTTTAAACATTGGGTAGAATTCAACAGTGAAACCATCTGGTCCAGGCTTTTCTTTGTTGCTGGGTTTTTGATTACTGATGCAATCTTCCTGCTGAATCTCCTTGCTGAATAGGTTTATTCAACTTTTCTGATTCAGTCTTAGTAGGATTTTTGTTTCTAGGAATTTGTTCATTTTATTTAGGCTGTTCAATTTTTTAGTGTATAGTTCCTTATGGTACTCTCCTACATTCCTTTTTTACTCCAAAAATTTGTTAGTAAAGTACCCATTTTATTTTTGAGTTTAGTAATTTGAATATTACCTTTTTTCTTAATCTAGATAAAATTTTGTCAGTTTTGATCTTTTTCAGAGAACAAACTAGGTTTTGTTGATTTTTGATATTGATTTTCTATTCTCTATTTCACTTATTTCCACCGCTATCTTTATCATTTTTTTAATTTTGCTAGCTTTTAGTTGTCCCTCTTTAATCGTCCCTCTTTTTCCCTCTGTTTTTAGTTCCTTAGGAGTAAAGTTGTTGATTTGGTATCTTATTTTTTATAATCATTTATAGCTATAAATTTTTTCCTTATGGTACTGTTTTTGATGTATCTCTTAACTTTTGGTATTTCATGTTCTTAATTTGTCTCTAGATATTTTCTATTTTCTCTTGTGATTTCTTCTTTTATCCATCCTTGAGTGTTTCATACCTATATTTTTAGACATAAAATGTGTAACCTACAAAATTTTCTTGATTTGTTACAGCTTTATTTGTTGTAAACCTTTATTTCAGAATTAAATGTGTGTATCAACATTTGTTATGTTCTCATAAACTTTGAAATATATGGAGATTCCTGGTCCACATATGTAAGTGTCTACATGAATATTATTTTGAAGCATTTAACCTTCTGTTTTAATATTTCAAAGGTCTAAATGAAATTGAGATTTTGGTTTCTGAGATGAAATCATGGTAGGTGACTGAGAAATGCTTAAAAATTAGCCAAAACTTAAAATTAAGTTATAGTTTACCTTTAAGATTCAACCTGAATAAGTCACCCTGTATTGCTGGTAATAAAGAATAAGACTTTAATGGTATAAAAGGAACTTCAGAGAATGTTTTCCTTTCCCCAGTTGACATATAAATTAAAAGATGTAAAAAATTTTTATGGCCTTATGCATTTTTTACTTTAGAATTCCAACTTTTTCTGGTTAAATTTTTTGCAAACAGATTCCTGTGTATTTGAAAGACAAATAATTTTTTAGTTGAAATGCTTAAGCAGTTAAATAAGGCCATGAAAGTTTCTTGAACTTGTGGGAATCCATGAGAAAATCTGACATTATGTTCTATTCTCTTGGAAGGTAGAAATATCGTTTGACTTCTGTTTTGCTGACAAGAAATGTCCTGAGCAAGACTACCTGGGACAATGACCTCACACATGGAAAACTTTGGAGCCCATCTGTTTCCAATCTGCTTTTTTCCAAAAATTAGGGAAGTTCAGTTTTCCCTTTGATACTCTCTGTTACTACCAATCCCAATGCCAGGGCTGTCCTGCTTCTACAAGTGACAATGACAAATATAGACCTGAAGAAAGATGAGCTGATGGCTTTCCCAGCTTATTACCTCTACTTGGGGGCCTTATCTCACATACATGGACTCAACTCATAGACTCAGCTGGGTGAGGATCTATTATTCAGCTACATTAGAAGGGACTGCTTAAGACTCAGGTGTGTGGTGAAATGAGGCAGAATTTTCTCAATGGAGTGCTAGGAGAATTTTCTCCTCATAACTACCATCTTACTATCACTAAATCATAGCTAAAATGAGGAAATTATTCAAGAAGAAATAGAAATGTAATCTTAGGAAGACATAAATTTAGAGATTTGTGGAGAGCTCTTCATAATTTTATGGTGTTCTCTTTGAGCTGGGATTATAGTTGACTTTTCATTATAATATATTAGCTGTTCTAGACTTTATGCATTTATGTAAAGTTTTCTTTGTTGTACTTTAAGTTCTGTGATACATGGGCAGATCATGCAGGTTTGTTACATAGTTATACACGTGATATGGTGGTTTGCTGCACCCATCAACCCGTCATCTACATAGGTATTTCTCCTAACTCTATTCCTCCCCTAGCCTTCCACCCCATGACATGACCCAGTGTGTGATGTTCCCCTCCCTGTGTCCATGTGTCCTCATTGTTCAACTCCCACTTATGAGTGAGAACATGCAGTGTTTGGTTTTCTTTTTTCTTTTTCTTTCTCTCTCTCTCTTTTTTTTTTTTTTTTTTTTTTTTGAGACAAAGTTTCACTCTTGTTGCCCAGGTTGGAGTGCAATGGCGTGATCTCGGCTCAACACAACCTCTGCCTCCTGGGTTCAAGCGATTCTCCTGCCTCAGCCTCCCAAGTAGCTAGGATTACACGTATGTGCCAACATGCCTGGCTAATTGTTTGTATTTTTAGTAGAGACGGGGTTTCTCCATGTTGGGCAGGCTGATCTCAAACTCCCCACCTCAGCCTCACAAAGTTCTGAGACTACAGGCATGAGTCACTGCTCCTGGCCTGGTTTTCTTTTCTTGTGTTAGTTTGCTGAGAATGATGGTTTCCAGCTTCATCCATGTCCCTGGAAAGGACATAAATGCACAGTATTCCATGGTGTATATGTGCCACATTTTCTTTATCCAGTTTATCATTAATGGGCATTTGGGTTGGTTCCAAGTCTTTGCTATTGTGAACAGTGCTGAAATAAACATGCAGTGTTGAAATAAACATACAGTGCATGTGTCTTTATAGTATAATAATTTATAATGCTTTGGGTATATACCCTATAATAGGATTGCTGGGTCAAATGGTATTTCTGGTTCTATATCTTTGAGGAATTTTCACACTGTCTTCCACAATGACTGAACTAATTTACACTCCTACCAACAGTGTAAAAGCATTCCTATTTCTCCACAGCCTCATCAGCATCTGCTGTTTCCTGACTTTTTAATAATCGCCATTCCAACTGGCGTGACATGGTATCTCATTGTGGTTTTGATTTGCATTCATCTAATGACCAGTGATGATGAGCTTTTTTTCATGTTTGTTGGCCACATAAATGTCTTCTTTTGAGAAGTGTCTGCTCGTTTCCTTTGCCCACTTTTTGATAGGGCTGTTTTTTTCTTGTAAATTTGTTTAAGATCTTTGTAGATTCTGGATATTAGCTCTTTGTCAGACAGATAGATTGCAAAAATTTTCTCCCAATCTGTAGGTTGTCTGTTCACTCTGATGATAGTTTATTTTGCGTGCAAAAGCTCTTTAGTTTAATTAGATCCCATTTGTCAATTTGGGCTTTTGTTGCCATTGCTTTTTGTGTTTTAGTCACAAAGAATTTGCCCATGCCTATGTCCTGAATGGTATTGCCTAGGTTTTCTTCTATGGTTTTAGGTCTTATGTTTAAGTCTTTATTCTACCTTGAGTTATTTTTTGTATAAGGTATAAGGAAGATGTCCAGTTTCAGTTTCTGCATATGGCTAGCCAGTTTTCCCAACATGATTTATTAAATAAGGAATCCTTTCCCCATTGCTTGTGTTTGTCAGGTTTGTCAAAGATCAGATGGTTGTATGTGTATGGTCTTATTTCAGAGTTCTCTATTCTGTTTCATTGGTTGTTTTTGTACCAGTACCATGCTGTTTTGGTTACTGTAGCATTATAGTGTAGTTTGAAGTTGGGTAGTGTGATGCCTCCAGCTTTGTTCTTTTTGCTTAGAATTGCCTTGGCTATTTGGGCTCTTTTTTGGTTCATGAGAATTTTAAAATAATTTCTTCTAATTCTGTGAAGAATGTCATTGGTAGTTTAATGGGAATAACATTGAATTCTTTTATAAATTACTTTGGGCAGTATGGACATTTTCAGGAATGAATTCTTCCCTATCCATGAGAATGGAATTCTTCTCCATTTGTTTGTGCCCTATCTGATTTCTCTGAGAAGTGGTTTGTAGTCCTCCTTGAAGAGGTTCTTCACTTCTCTTGTTAGCTGTATTCCTATGTATTTGATTCTCTTTGTAGCAATTGTGAATGAAGTTCATTCACGATTTGGCTCTCTACTTGCCTGTTGTTTGTGTATAGGAATACTAGCAATTTTTGCACACTGATTTTGTATCCTGAGATTCTGTTGATGTGGTTTATCAACTTAAGAAGCTCTTGGGCTGAGATGAGGGGGTTTTCTAGATACAGGATCATGTCATCTGCAAACAAAGATAATTTGACTTCATCTCTTCCTATTTAAATACAGTTATTTATTTTTCCTGCCTGATTGCCCTCGCCAGAAATTCCAGTACTACATTGAATAGGAGTGGTGAGAGAGGCCATCCTTTTCTTGTGCCAGTTTTCAAGGGGAATGCTTCCAGCTTTTGCTCACTCAGTATGATATTGGCTGTGAGTTTGTTATATATGGCTCTTATTATTTTGAGGTGTGATCTTTCAATACCTAGTCTATTGAGAGTTTTTAACATGAAGGGATGTTGAATTTTATTGAAGGCCTTTTCTGCATCTATTGAGATAATCGTGTTGTTTTTATGTTTATTTCTGTTTATGTGATGAATTACATTTATAGATTTGCCTGTGTTGAACCAACCTTGTATCCCAGGGATGAAGCCGTCTTGATCGTGGTGGATCAAGGTACCCTTATCAGTCTTAAGTTCAGTCTTTTTACATAATCCCATATTTCTTGAAGGTTTTGTTGTTCTTTCTTTTTTATTCTTCTTTCTCTATTCTTCTCTTCCTGTCTTATAACAGACAGATAGTTTTGAAGCTCTGAGATTCTTTCCTCCACTTGGCCTATTCTGTGAGTGATAGTTGTGGTTATGTTGTGAGGTTCTCATGTTGTGTTTTTCAGCTCCATCCTGTCTCTAAAATGAATATTCTGGTTATCAGCTACTGTGTTCTTTTATGATTTTTAGCTTCTTGCATTAAGTTAGAACTGCTCCTTTAGCTCAGAGAAGTTTGTTATTACCCACCTCCTAAAGCCTACTTTTGTCAATTCAGCCATCTCAGCCTCGGGTCAGTTTTGTGCTCTTGCTGGGGATGTGTTTTTGTCATTTAGAGGAGAAGAGGCATTCTGCCTTTTTGAGTTTTCAGCGTTTTTGTGTTGATGCTTTCTCATCTTTGTGGGCTTATCTACCTTTGATCTTTGACGTTGCTGACCTTTGAATGGAGTTTTTGTGGGGTTTTTTGTTGATGTTGTTGTTGTTGTGTTTGTTTTTAACAGTCAGACCACTCTTCCCTACGGCTAGGGCTGATATGAATTTTGGGGGTCCACTCTGGACCCTAGTCACCTCAGTCTCTCCTGCACCTGGAGGTATCACCAGTGAAGTCTGTGAAACAGCAAAGCTGGCAACCTGATCCTTCCTCTGGGAGCACCAGTCCAAGGGGGTACTGACTTGATGCCAGCTGGAACACTTCTGTAGGAGGTGTCTGGAGACTCCTGTTGTGAGGTCTCACCCAGTCAGGAGGAACAGGATCAGGGACTGCTTAAAGAAACAGTCTGGCTGCCCTTTGGCAGGGCAGGTGTGTTGTGCTGACCCCCAGGAGTCTCCAAAGCCAGCAGGCTGGAAAGGCTCAGTCGGCTGAACTGGGGAGAAAGCAGCTACCCTTCTCCCTCGGGACTTCATCCCAGGGAGAAATCAGAGTTCTGTCCATAGAACTCTGGCTGGATTTGCTAAAATTCTGATGGGGAGGCCCTGTCCAGAGAGGAGGGATGGATTTTGGTCTCACTTAAAGAAGCAGCCTGGCCATGATCAGTCACAACATCTGTGCTGTGTTATGGATGACTCCTCCTGGTCCCTGGTACCAGCAGTCTAGAGTGGCCAACTCAAACCACAGATAGAACGGCTGCCCCTCCCCCTGGGAACTCGGTCCACCTCCGGCTGTCTCCAGCCTGCTGCCGCTGGCCAGCTGGAATTCCAAGCCAATGGGTCTTGTGAGGTGCTGTGGGAGTGGGGCCTCAGAATGATATCACTTAGCTCCCTGCATTCAGCCCCTTTCCTAGGGGAATGCACGGATGTATCTCCCGCTTTGCTGGAATTCTCAGGGCAGAGTATGCAAAACGCCTGGGCTTCCATGCATGCCCCAGTAACCCAGCCAGCGCTTTGCTGAGACTCCACACAGCTCTGTGCTTCAGACCCAAGGCCGTGGTGGCTGAGCTCATGAGGGGACCTCCTGATCTGCAGGTAGCAAAGATCCACGGGAGAAGCATGGTTTCCGGGCAGAGTCGCACAATCACTCATGACCTCCCTTGCTTGAGAGTGGGGGCTCAGCTAGCTCTGTGACACACCTAGGTGGGCCATTGCCCCACTTGCTTTTCCTGACTCTCTGTGGGTCGAGCTCTCTGCCTAGTCAGTCCCAGTGCAAGAACCTGAATACCTCAATTGAAGGTGCAGAATTCACTTGCAGTTTTCATTGCTCTCCATGAGAGCCACAGGCCACAGCTGCTTCTAATCGGCCAGCTTGGCCCCATCTAAAGTATGATTTCTTAATACATGAGATGTTTTAAATACATAACAATAATGATATTTATCAAAAATAATATTTTGTTTCAATGTGATAAAAATTGCTAATAAATCAATTCTCTTTTGGTTATCACAAAGCTATCTGGAAATGTAACATCTGCCATTTATAAAATTTTTGTAGGGTTAATAGAACTTTACTTGAAGGGAGGCTGGCAATATGCATCATGACTTCAAACACTGCCAGTGAAGTTGTGGAGTTTGAAGTGGTACTCACATCTTGTTACTGGGATTATAAATTTGTACAAACTTTATCAATTGTGATTAAACAATATATACCCAAATTATAAATGGCAATACTCTCTGATTCAGCAATTTCATTTCCAGAAATTTACCCTACAGACATACTCATGATGCCTGGAATTATGTATGAATGGGAGAAAGTATTATACCACCTTTTTAATTAACAAAAGTCTAGAAATCACCTTAATGTTTATCAATCACATTAATGATTATCACCTTACTGTTTATTGAAATTATGGCTATTCATATGATAGAATACTATGCAGCTATTTAAAAAAATAAATTTTAAAGGGATGCTCAAAAATGATGTCCAAGATATCTACAAAGTAAAAAACCTGGTTGCAGAGCCATGTGTCTCATATGTCTCCATTCCTATAAAATCAGAGTGCATATAAATGAATAGAGTATCTCTATTAAATGGTAACTGTTACAAAATTTAAAGTTAATGCAGGCAAGGAATTTCTTTTTTAATGCTAAAACTCCAAGGAACTGCACAAATTTGAGGATTTCCAACACATGTCAATCTATCTTTGAACCTACAGATTTTAGGAAATGAGACTTTTGAAAAATCAAGCATTAATATTCCTAGCTACAGTTGTTTGGGCCATAATTAGAATGATCCATTCTTTGGAAGTCTGTAAAATTTGCTCATACAACCATCTGGGCCTAGTCCTTCCTTTGTGAAAGATTTTATTTTACTAGAGATTTTATGTTCTTCATGTTGTAGTACTTCTTAGGTTTTCTATTTCTTCCTGATTCTTGAGTCAATTTTGGTACCACTTAGTACCCCACAGGTTGCTTGGGCTCAGAACACATCAGTCAAAGAAAGAGAGAAGAAAGGAAGGCAGGAAGGAGGGAGAAAGGAAAGAAGGAAAGAAGGGGACAAAGAAGGAAAGAGAGAAATAAAGAATGAGAGAAAGAAGGATGGAGGGAGAGAAAGATGGAAAGAGAGAAAGAAAGAGAGAAGGAAATGAGAGAGAAGGAAGGAAGGAAGGAAGGAAGGAGGAAGAAAAAGAGGGAAAAAGAGAGAAGGAAAGAAACAAGGAAGCAGGGAGGGAGAGAAAGAGGAAGGGAGATGAAGGAAGAGAGGAAGGAAGGAGAGTGGGAGGGAAGGGAGAAAGAGAGGGAGGGAGGGAAAGAAAGAAAGAGAGAGGTGAAAGGTGGGGACGGAAAGGGAAGAGGAGCCAGCCACAGGCTACAGGCTGTTTGTTCACTCTTTTACTTGAACCAGGCATTCTGCCTTTTAAATATTCCACCTTCTGCCATGAGTTACACTCTTCAATATTCAAATATTCATTCCTCAGAGCATTCAAAGGTCTATGTGTGCCCTGCCATGATGGAGCATGGCTTCAGCTCTCAAACACAACTCTCAGCCAAAATATTCATGACTGGTGCCTCCCATATACTCATCAATCCCCCATATATGGTCTGCATGTGTCCCCCAGAGCTCACATGTTGGAAACTTAATCCTCTATGTGACAGTGTTGAGAGGCGGGGCCTAATAAGAGTGATTGGGTTATGAGACTCTGCCCCCATGCATGGATTAATGTCACTATCTCAGGAGTAGTTTAGTTATCTTGGGGGTGGGTTAGTTATCTTGGGAGTGGGCTTGTATTAAAAGCAAGCTCAGCCCCTTTTGCTCTCTTTCTTTCTGAAAGTCTTGTTCTGCTGCCTTCAGTCATGAGATGACACAGCAAGAAGGCTCTCACCAGATGCAGACCCCTCATAGTTGGACTTCCTAGCCTCCAGAACTCTAAGAAATAAATTTATTTTATTTATAGATTCCCTAGTCTATGATATTCTGTTATAGCAGCACAAAATGGGTTAAGATGCCCCATTACATGGAGAGTGCTGATCCACAGGGTTGAGATGATTGACTTAGGGCTTGGAGTCTTATACAACATCCCTATGGGAGTTGGCCTCCATATTCCCTATCTTCCAGGAATCTCAAATGGTGATCTGAGACCAAAATATAGCCCAGATATTTTGCATTTGGCAATATTGCCCACTTTTCCACAACTTTGTCATGACAGCTTTGATGTGCTCCCTTTTATGATCCCTGAAAGGATATGAGTTCAAGATCCTTCAAGGTTACAATCCAAGGATAGAAGAGCCTAGAAAAGAGTCCCATCACCTGGGTGATCAGTGCAGAAATATGTCACAAAGCCTCCATTGGCAAAGCCTAGACAAGAGTTACGTCACCTGGGTGATCAGTGCAGAGGTATGTCACAAAGCCCCCGTAGACAGAGCCTAGACAAGAGTTACATCACCTGGATGACAGGCAAACAACAATGACAACTTATTTTCATCCCCACTTCAGTCTTTGAGGTTAGACAGACCTGGATTCAAATCCAAGCTCCACCCCTCGCTGTGTGAGCTTGCTCATGCTGCTAACCTCTCTGAGACTTGACTCTTCATTTGTGAAATGAGGATAAAACCCCTTCTCTCGGGGGCTGTGCCAAGGATGAAATGAGTCATGCATTGGTCAGGACAGGTGATGCTGTATAACAAACAAGCCCACAATCCTCAGTGGCTTTAACAGCAAAGTTGACTTCTTTTTTTTTTTTTTGTGGGGGTTGGGGTGTGGTGGATGGAGTCTTGCTCTGTCGCCCAGGCTGGAGTGCAGTGGTGCAATCTCAACTCACTGCAACCTCCACCTCCTGGGTTCAAGAGATTCTCCTGCCTCAGCCTCCCGAGTAGCAGGGACTACAGGTGCACGCCACCATGCCCAGCTAATTTTTTGTATTTTTAGTAGAGACGGGGTTTCACCGTGTTAGTCAGGATGGTCTCGATCTCCTAACCTCATGATCTGCCCACTTCAGCCTCTGAAAGTCCTGGGATTACAGGTGTGAGCCACTGCACCCGGCCTTGACTTCTCAATTGATTTCACATCCATCACGGGTCAACAAGGGGGCTCTGGTGGTCATAGTCATTCAGAGACTCAAACAGATAGACCCTTATCCCAGAAGATGCTCCCACAGTTCCAGAAATAGAGCAAAGAAAACACAATCAGCCATGAGCCACTTCTTAAATCCCCAGCCTGGAAGGGATACACATTTCTTCTGTCACAGCTGTTGCCCAAAATGTCTCAGGCTGCCGAGTACAGTGGCTCACCTCTGTAATCTCAGCATTTTGGGAGGCAGAGGCGGGCAGATCACCTGAGGTCAGAGGTTCAAGACCAGTCTGACCAACATGGTGAAACCCTATCTCTACTAATAATACGAAAATTTTCCAGTCGTGGTGACGGATGCCTGTAGCCCCAGCTACTCTGGAAGCTGAGGCAGGAGAATCACTTGAACCCGGGAGGCGGAGATTGCAATGACCTGAGACCATGCCACTGCACTCCAGACTGAGTGACAGCGTGAGACTTCATCTCAAAAAAAAAAAAAAGTCTCAGGCTATGTTTGAACTAAGAGGGTAGAAAGAATAGTCATTTTGGTTGCCACAAACCTTCAAAACAAAGATGCAGATCATTGATGTAAAATTACAGTTAGTTCTTTCCCACTCCTTTTCAGCTTCTCTTCGTTACCATGAGCCAGCGTCTCTAGTGTCAGTATTCAGTCTATTGCCTCCCAGCTCCTAGTGCACCTTTCAATATGTGCACTGTGATAATCTGGGAAACACTGTTCAATATACCTTCTGGAAGTGAACATTCTGCAGGCCTCTAGGTAGAGGATGGAGAGACTGCAGGGGACAGGAGCTCTCTGGCTGGGCTTTGGTCATGTTCAAGCCCCAACCACAGACCAAGGCGTGGTCCCTCAGCCACCTTGTAGCCTTGGCTTGCAACATCTCGACATGGAAACCAAAACGCGGCAGGGCCCATGTGATATGAAAGTTCTTGAAAAGTTGCCCAGACCCCCTCTTGTATCCCTTGTGCAACCTGCACACAGTGACCTGTAGTCTAGAGGGTCTGCACAGAACTGCCATTCCTTCTGCCAGACCCTGCGGGACCCACGCGTTCTGAAGGCTTCCTGCCCTACAAAGGCAGCCAGACTCCCGCCATGCATCCCTGCACCAGGGGCTCACGGCCAGCTCCCTCACCTGCACTCCAGCGGCTCATGCACAGCTCCCTCACCTGCCCCAACGGCTCACGGCCTGCTGCCTCACCTGCACCAGGTGCTCACGGCCGGCTCCCTCCTCTGCACACCAGCGGCTCACCGCTGGCTCCCTCACCTGCACCAGTGGCTCACAGCAGGCTCCCTCCCCTGTACTCCAGCAGCTCATGGCCAGCTCCCTCAGCTGCACTCCAGTGGGTGGCCTAGTGCTCGTGCAAAAGCTGCTGACTAGCTCCAGCCTGCCCAAACCCACAAACGTCTCTTATGTGGTGGCTGAACCACATTTAATGACATCTGAACACCTTTCAAATCTGTGCTTCCTTGGGTACCTCCCTCTGCACTAGGGCACCAGGCAGAGTTGCTTTATGTCTTACAGTGACTCTTTTATCATAGTTGCAATCCTTTATACTCCACTTCCCCATTAGACCCACTGTGTGCTTTCTATCTTTGAATGGGACCCAGGCTGCTACACACCCTAACCCATGCACATTGCACTTCATTAGTTCCTCACTATTGGCCAAAGATCATGCTCCACCACCCCTCTCTTCCCCCGACTCTCTTTGCTTAATTGAAACCCCCAAATGCCCTCTTTGCGCCCAAAGCTTACTTGCTTTTCCTTCCCTATATTCTTGGCCAGACACAAAAATCTGATTCTCTGGCAAATGCAAAAACGGGGAGAAGGCAGGGGAACCATTTCTCCTCCCTTACATAAGCACTGAGGGTAATGTCATTCCATTGTGTGAGGAATAAAAAAATGAGGCATAGAGAGCTGCCATGATTTGCCTGGACCAATGAAGCTGTCATGGCAGAAGTGGAACAAAGGTTTAGGTGTCCCGAATGTCAGTCCAGCTCCTATGCCTTCAGAACGTGCTGTGGAGGGAGACACCTGGGGACCCCAGTCATGCTGAGCACTCAGGGTTACCCAGGTTCTGAGAGTGGGGACGTGACAGGCTGAGTTGACTCAGTCCAGTCCTCCTCTACAAAATAAGGATGGAAACCCTCACATAATAGAAGTGAAGACAGGGAACAAATCCAGGAACCATTAAGAGGCTGATGCCTGGAAGGCCTGGGCAGAATGACGGGAGATTGGAGCAGAACAGGGGCCCTAGATGGGGACAAGGGGAAGGAAGTGGCCTCAGTGGCCAGATGACACCTATCCACTGCACAGACGCTGGAGCCTTGAGTTCCATCTAGTCCTTGTCAACTACAATCATTCTGCCCTATGGCTCAACGAGTCCTGGAGAAAATGTGTTTTCTGCAGTCTGGGGAGGTGAGAGTAAAACAATTCAGCCTCAAGAAGTTGAAAGCCCAGGAAATCATAGCATGTGGAGATGGGATTCATACTTAAACTTCCTGCCCTTGAGTTCTGGTTTGGCCACTTGACTCACTTTGGCCAATGGATGTGGTAAAGTGGTAGTCTGCCCATTCTGAGCCTGGGTGGTAAGATAAGAGATCTTCACATTTCCCTTTGTTCTTTGCACTCCTGCCATTGCCATGAGAAGAAGGCACCCTGGCAGGCCCCGACCCCAGGAGGATCGGAGACACTTGGAGCATATCCAGCTCAGCCACCACATTTCGAGCTGAAACCTCCCAAGCAACCCATGCTCATGAGTGAGAAATGGTGGCCTATGGTCGTAGGCCTCTGAGGTGTGGGGTTACTTGTTACAAAGCAAGAGTTAACTACTAGAGATTTCTACCTCACATCCCTACGAAACAAAGAACAAAGGAAATAAAACAAAATATGAAAAGCAGATTTCCAATTTTTAGAAGAAACAGAGGACATATTTTATGACACTAAGCAGAGAAAAATTTTTTTTAATATGACACAAAACACAGACACCATAAAAGAAATTACTGATAAATTCAATTGTATTAAATGTAGAAGATTTGATCTGACAAAAGAGACCATGAATACAGTTAAAAGACAAAGACAGTGCATGATATGGTTTGGCTGTGTGTCCCCACCCAAATCTCACCTTGAATTGTCCTCCCATAATTCTCCTGTGTCGTGGGAGGGAACTGGTGGGAGATAATTGGAATCATGGGGGCTGTTCCCCCATACCGTTCTCCTGGTAGTGAATAAGTCTCACGAGATCTGACGGTTTTATCCGGGGTTCCACTTTTGCATCGTCCTTATTTGTCTCTGGCCACTGTCATCTAAGAAGTGCCTTTCACCTCCCACCATGATTCTGAGGTCTCTTCAGTCATGTGGAACTGTAAGTCCAATTAAACCTTTTTTTCTTCCCACTCTGGGTTATGTCTTTATAGGCAGTGTGAAAATGGACTAATACAGTGCACCAATAGGGAAAACATATTTGTAAGGTATTTGGCCAAAAAAGCATTGATATCCAGATCATTAAAATCAAAATTGGTCAGTCTTGGTGACGCATGCCTATAATCCCAGCATTTTGGGAAGCTGAGGCAGGTGGATCACCTGAGGTCGGGAGTTCGATACCAGTCTGACCAACATGGAGAAACACCGTCTCTACTAAAAATACAAAATTAGCCGGGCGTGGTGGCACTTACCTGTAATCCCAGCTACTCAGGAGGCTGAGGTAGGAGCATCGCTTGAACCAGGGTGGCGGAAGTTGCGGTGAGCCGCGGTACTGCCATTGCACTCCCACCTAGGCAACAAGTGCAAAACTCCTTCTAAAAAAAAAAAAATAGCACTTATAAGTCAGCAAGGAGAAACCAAAGATCCAACAGACATATGGGCCAGGAGCAATTCACAGAGAAGGAGACCGGAAGAGCTGGAAAACACAAGGCACGCGTTCAGCTACACTGCAAATTCCAGGAACAATATCAAAAAGTGCGATAACAAATATTGATGAAGATGAGTGAAGATGGATGTGAGCACTACTGGCGAGGGGCATTGTGAGGACTCCAGCCCCAAGGTCATCTGGCTGAGCTTCCTAGGAAGGGCTGACAACAGACCTGTCCCAAGACCCGAAGCCTCACCAGGCTACGTGCAGGCTTTGGACCAGAACATCAGCATCACCTTGGGGTGGGGGTTGCAGGGGGAGGCACGCATCCTCTGCTCACCAGAAATGCAGAATTCTAGATTCATCTGGAAGAAATTGTTGAAGGGAAAAGCAACTTTCAGGAGAGTATGTATGGACTGCTGTTTGTATAAAATTGCAAAAACAGACCAAAAAACACTATCCATTCTTCATGGACATGCACTCTAGGTATTAAACATGGATGGGAAGACACACATTGACTTCAGAATAGTGGGAGGGAGGTGGTAACTGGACTGGAAAAGGGGCATATAACTCGAGTGTCAGCTTGAACATTATGGCTGAATCTGTAATGTTTTCTTCCTTAAACTCTGGAGCAAATGCATCCAAAAGTTACCATATTTGAATTTTAACTGGGAGGTACATGAAAGTTTAATACCATTATCCTCTATGCAGTCCTGTGTGTTTGTAATATTGAGCCATATTTTTTAAACACTTGACTCATCATGAAAGGAAGCTTGCCTACATGGTACCAATGGTTATCTTTAGGTAGCAGAATTCAAGACTGATTCTTTTTTCTTTTTTTCCTACTTGTATGTTATCTCTATTTCCCTGTGTGAGGATTTATGACTGTTGTGATGAAAAGGCTAGCATCCTAACTCCCTGCATCATAAGCACACACCATGCCCTGGCTGGCAGGATGAGGAGGAGGGAGCGTGTCTTTTCACCTGGCCAGCCCTAGGCAACTCTGCAGAGAAAGACACAGGCACTTCCCCTCTGCAGCCAAAGAGTTAAGAAGGCTCGATGTGAAATGAATCATTCCAGGGGAGCTAAATCCCGGCCTTATCTAATTCTGTATCCTGAGGCTGATTAATTTAAACTCAAAAATAAAACAAACATCATCTTTAAATAGGGATTAAATACTCAGCGGGGTCCTTAGTTGAACAAAACTGACATACATTTTATGGTATGGATTCAGGGGGCCCGGGGTGGGGCTAGGGCTATCTGTGGGGATGCTCGCTGAGCTAAGGAGAGAAAATCACCAGTGCTCCCGGATTCCGGAGTGCATTCACCTTTAGCTTCTTCTCTGGATACCCGCAGAAAACCAAAGAGCCACCCTGTGGCAGGATCTTCACACAGGAGGTGGGCTTGTGCCCTGTGTCCCCGAGGGAGAAGGAATTATGGAGGGAGTGGGTGAAGAGTTTGGAGGAAGTCCCTGATGTTCTTAGAAAACAGTAGGAAACAGATTCCATTGGTTGGGCATTGTTCCCAAATAGGAGACAAGAGCATGAACTAAAAACAGAGACTCCCAGCTCCATCCATGGTCCCTGAGTTCAGAAGAGAACCCAGGGAGGTGGGGCAAGTAAAAAATTGAGTGGGCTATCTGACATGTGCCTGGAGGGACCCACGAACCTGAGTGAGGCATGAGAGTGGGCAGCTGGTGGATTTTTCCAGGCCTGCAGCACAAAGCCAGGCGGACGTCCTAAGAACAAGCCATGTCTGCAGAGGCCTCTACTGCATCCCTGCCTCATGGGCACAATGTCACAGAACAGAATTACATCATGTGGGAGGCCATGTGCAGTGTAAGTGTCATAATGGAGCTGGACCCAGAAGGTCCCAGACCCAGGTCCAGCTATGTCTCTGCTATAGTCAATGTTTGTGTGCCCCTAAAATCCGTGTGTTGAAATCTAACCCCTGATAGGTTAGGTTTGAATTAGGAGGCAAAGACTTTAGGAAGTGATTTCATCATGAAAGCAAAGACCCCATGAATGGGATAAGTGGCCTTGTAAAAGGGAGTCAAGGGAGCTTGTTCTCTCCTTCCACCATTTGAGGACACAGCTAGGAGGTGCCCTCTATAAGGAACAGGTACTCAACAGACACCTAATCTGCCACTACTTTGACCTTCCACTTGCCAGCATCCAGACCTATAAGAAATAAATTTCTGCTGCTTATAAGCCCCCCAGGCTAAGGTATTTTGTTATGGCAGCCCAAATGGAAGAAGACGGTCTCTGACCATCTTGAGCAACTCACTTATCTGCTGAACTCTCCACAGATTTAACTGTGATGAAATCCCGTCAACAGATGTATATTGAACACCTACTGTGTATAAGGACACATTGTGTTATTGGATAGGGTATAAAGAAAGTCACAGTTCCCCAGAGGTAGGCACTGCCATAGCTGAAGAGCAAACCCTAGTTGCTGTGGCCAACGGGGGAAGGGATGGGTGTCAGAGAAAAAGAGAACATGCTAGAGTCCATGTCTGCAGCAATATTGGAACGTCTAATGGATGGTTCCAAAAGTGGTGACTCCTCATCTTCTTACAAAAACTCATAGTTGTCCCTGTGTAAAGTCTTCCCAGAAGTGCAGGGCAGTTGAGAATATGCAGATCAGAAAAGACAAGAGGACAGAGAGAGCAGATTCTTGGCATCAGCAGCCACGGACTTCTTGCAGGAAGGAAAGTATTTCTCCTGGATCCCTGCGTAGCAGATAAACGTACAGAAATACATTTGTTGGCTATTTGATTCATAGACTTTGAACATTTGCAGACCGAGAGGCTGAGAATCTTCTCCAATCAGACGGTGTGGGGCGTGGAAGTACAGAAAGGGATCAAAGGAGGAGGAAAACAGAGCAATGAGAAGGGAGCTCTCAGCATGACCAACACAGAGACCTGGGTCTCTGCTACCAACAATATGAGCTAATGTATAATGATTGCAGGTCTGTAAACAGCAGGCTTTCCATATCACATGTGGCAAGCTCTGATGACAACCCTGTGTGACAGGTATTCTTATCAGAGGCAGAGAGTTGTTAAATAATCACACACAACTGGTGGAATGCCGGAGAGATTTGTTTTACTTGGTCATCTTCCTGTTTGCTTTCTATTTGTCCCATCTATAGTTGGTTCTCCTTTTCCTCTTTGACTTCTTTTGAATTTGTTGAGTATTTTTATTTCATTTAATCTTCTTTGTTGGCCTTTTACATATAACTATTTGGCTTCGTTTGGTTTTGAGTTTTAACCATTTCTCTATAGTTTATGGTATATCATATGGTTTGGATCTGTGTCCCCACCCAAATCTCATGTGGAAATGTAATCCCCAGTGCCAAACGTGGGGCCTGGAGGGAGGTGATTGGATCATGGAGCCAGTTTCTCATGGTTTAACACCATCCCCACTTGGTACTATATAGCGAGTGAGTTCTCACAAGATCTGGTTGTTTAATAGTGTGTGGCACCTCCCCCTCTCTCTCTTCCTCCTGCTCCAGTCACATAAGATGTGCCTGCTTCCCCTTTGCCTTCTGTCATGATTGCAAGCTCCCTGAGCCCTCCCCAGAAGCCGAGCAGATGACAGAATCATGCTTCCTGTGCAGCCTGCAGAACCATGAGCCAATTAAACCTCTTTTCTTCATAAATTACCCAGTCTGAGACTTTTTTTTTTTTTTGAGACATAGTCTCGCTCTGTCGCCCAGGCTGCAGTGCAGTGGTGCAATCTCGGCTCACTGCAACCTCTGCCTCCCTAGATCAAGTGATTCTGCTGCCTCAGTCTCTCGAGTAGCTTAGCTGGGACTACAGGCATACGCCACCAGGCCCACCTAATTTTTTTTGTATTTTTAGTAGAGACAGGGTTTCACCATGTTGGCAAGGATGGTCTCAATCTCTTGAACTCATAATCCACATGCCTCAGCCTCCCAAAGTGCTGGGATTACAGGCGTCAGCCACCATGCCCATTCCCAGTCTCAGACATTTCTTTTTTTTAAATTTGTTTATTATTTTTTTAAGGTATTATTATTATACTTTAAGTTTTAGGGTACATGGGCACAATGTGCAGGTTTGTTACATATGTATACATGTGTCATGTTGGTGTGCTGCACCCATTAACTCGTCATTTAGCATTAGGTATATCTCCTAATGCTATCCCTTCCCCCTCCCACCACCCCACAATAGTCCCCGGTGTGTGATATCTCCCTTCCTGTGTCCTTGTGTTCTCATTGTTCAATTCCCACCTATAAGTGAGAACATGTGGTGTTTGGTTTTTTGTCCTTGTGATAGTTTGCTGAGAATGATGGTTTCCAGCTTCATCGATGTCCCTACAAAGGACATGAACTCATCATTTTTTATGGCTGCATAGTATTCCATGGTGTATATGTGCCACATTTTCTTAATCCAGTCTATCATTGTTGGACGTTTGTGTTGGTTCCAAGTCTTTGCTATTGTGAATAGTGCCACAATAAACATATGTGTGCATGTGTCTTTATAGCAACATGATTTATAATCCTTTGGGTATATACCCAGCAATGGGATGGGTGCGTCAAATGGTATTTCTAGTTCTAGATCCCTGAAGAATCACCACACTGACTTCCAAAATGGTTGAATTAGTTTACAGTCCCACCAACAGTGTGAAAGTGTTCCTATTTCTCCACATCCTCTCCAGCACCTGTTGTTTCCTGACTTTTTAATGATCACCATTCTAACTGGTGTGAGATGGTATCTCATTGTGGTTTTGATTTGCATTTCTCTGATGGCCAGTGATGATACTGTGGTTTTGATTTGCATTTTTCTGATGGCCAGTGATGATGAGTATTTTTTCATGTGTTTTTTTGGCTGCATAAATGTCTTCTTTTGAGAAGTGTCAGACATTTCTTTATAGCAGTTCAAGAACAGATTAATACAGTATATGTATTTAACTTAGCATTGGCTGCCATCAACATTATACCACTTCACATAGAGGATAAGAACCTTAAAACAGTGCCCATTCATTTCCCTCCTTTTGGGTTTTGTGTTATTGTTTTCATGCATTTTGCTTCTGTATGTGCTGTAAACTCACATTAATTTGTTATCATTTTTGTCTTAAACAGTCAATTATCTTTTAAAAATCCTTCTTAATGTTGTATTTTTGCTCACACATTTGCCATCTCTGGTGCTCTACATTCTTTTGTGTAGATCTGGAATTCCATCTGGTTTCACTTTCCCTCTGCCTGAAGGATTTCCTTTAATATTGCTTGTAGTGAGGACGTGCTGTTAATGCATTCTTCAAGCTTTTTAATGTCTGAAAGTCTTTATTTCACTATCATTTTTGAAAGATATTTTTGCTGGGTGTAGAATTCTAGACTGGCAATCGTTTTATCCTTAAGTATTTTATGGAAGTCACTCCACTATCATGTGGTTTGCATTATTTCTTTTCTTTGTTTTTTTGAGACAAGGTCTCCCTCTGTCACCCAGGCTGCAGTGCAGTGGCATGATTTCAGCTCACTGAAACATTTACCTCCTGGGTTCAAGCAATCCTCCCGCCCCAGCCTCCCAAGTAGCTGGGACTACAGGCATGCAACACGACACCCAGCTAATTTTTGCATTTTATGTAGAGGCCAGGTTTTGCCATGTTGCCCAGGCTGGTCTAGAACTCCTGGGCTCAAGTGATCATCCTGCCTTGACCTCCTAAAGTGCTGGGATAACAGGCATGTGCCACCACGCCTGACCTTGCGTTCTTTCTAACCAGATGTCTGCCTTTTTTTTTTTTTTTTTTTTTTTTTTTTTTTTTTTTGAGACAGAGTCTCGCTCTGTCACCCAGGCTGGAGTGCAATGGTGCCATCTCAGCTCACTGCAACCTCCGCCTCCCAGGTTCAAGCGATTCTCCCTGCCTCAGCCTCCTGAGTAGCTGGGGTTACAGATGCGTGCCACCATGCCCTGCTAATTTTTGTATTTTTAGTAGAGACGGGGTTTTGCCATGTTGCGCAGGCTGGTCTTGAACTTCTGGTCTCAAGTGATCACCCTGACTCAGCCTCCCAAAGTGCTGGGATTACAGGTGTGAGCCACCACGCTCAGCCTATTTTCATCTTTGTTCCTCTCTGTATAATGTCCTTTTCCCTTTGGTAACCTTTCAGATTTTCTCTTTGTTACTGGGTTGGGGCAATTTGATTATGATGTGCTTCAGTGTGTCATCCTCATGTCTCTTGTGCTAGGGGTTCGTTGGTTCTTAGATCTCTGGGTTTACAGTTTTTCTCAAATTTAAATTTTTTCAGCCAGAGCTTTTTCAAATACTTTTTCTTCTACTCCTCCCCACCTTCTTCAGGAACTCCAATTCCACATATATTAGTCCTGTTGGTGCTGATTTTCTGTTCAGTTTTTTCCATTATTTTCTCCACGTTCCATTTTTGATAGTTTCTGATGCTACATCTTCCAGTTGACTAATCCTTTTTTGTATAATATCTATTCTACATTAAATGCCATTTAGTATATTTTTCATCTCAGACATTGTATTTTTCATCTCTAGAAATTCAAGCTGGGTCTTCCATGTCTCTACTTCCATGTTCTAGCTTCCCTTTACCTTCTTCTTGTGGAATGTTATCATTACAATAAATGTTTTAATATCGTTGCCTACTAATTCTATCTTATTTGACATTTCTGTATCTATTGATCAAGTTTTCTTCTTATTATTGAGACATTTCCTTTTTCTTCACATGCCTGGTAATTTTCAGCTGGATGGCAGACAACGTGAAATTTATCTTATTGTGTGTTGGATATTGTTGGGTTCCTATAAATATTATTGAGCTATGTTCTAGGATGCAGTTAAATTATCTGGAAAGATTTTGGTTCTTTGAGGGTTTTCTTTGAGGTCTTGTTAAGTAGGACCTTAGCAGCCTCATCCTAGATCTAATCTTCCACACTACTGAGGCAATTCTTTTCTGAGTGTTCCATCCAATGGTCCAGGAAGTATGATTTGTCCACTGTTGCTGGTGGGAACACCAAATATGCCTAGTTCTGTGGGAGGTTCAAGCATTGTTCTTTCTGTTTCCTTCAGGTATTTTTTCCCCCAGACTTGTAGTTTACACACATACGTGTGCTGATCAGTATTTAGCTGAAGACTCTGGAGCTTTTTTGTTTCGTGTCTTTGTCCTTTTCATTCCCTGAATACTCTGCCCTGCAGAGTTTATCTGAGCTTCTTTAGTCTCCCTGGACTCCCAGCTTCGTCTCCTCAACTCAGAACCATCACCAGGCTCAGCCTGGGTTTTCCCTCCTTGAGCTGTGGCCTAGAAACTGTTTGCCTTTGGTCACCGCACCTGGGCAGTCCAGAGTCAGGAGAAACCCTAGGCCATGTGGCAGAATGCCCACTGTCCCCACTTCACCACACTGTACTCTCTCCATCCCGTGCTAGCTGCAGCCACGCTGTCTCACAGTCCAGAATGCTAGCCAGAGACCAAGCTTTCTGCAGTGTCTTGGCTGGGGCTCACAGATAAGGATGGCCAAGCAGTGCTCCCAGAAGCCAGCAGATGCCATCAATCAGTTTTACATCCACCAGGCACTGAGAATCTCTGGACACCAGAAGTGTCCTCTGTTGCCAGAGCTGAACTCTCAAGTGAAGACTCCAGAAGGCCCTGAAATGTGGGCAGGCTCCCATTATTGCCTGTCTGTGGCCACAAGGACACAGACTCTTTCCATGGCTGGTGAGATGTCCAGCACACTGGGGGCTCTGGAAAGCCCCTTTTCAACTTTAGGCCTTAGCTGAGCTCTCCATTTACCTCAGACCAGGCAGTGCACATTATGGGGGACACCGCTGGGTGCTGGGATGAAAATGGCACTTTGCATGTGAGCTAGGATTGAGAGCCCACCACTCTCTTCCCCAGTGAGGCGGTGGCCAGTTACCATCTCTGGCTTCTGTCCCCTTACCAGCCTCCTCTGCTACAATTGCATTTCTGGCAGGCAGTGGATCAGGGAAGCACCGGCAGTTGAGGACCATGTGGAGAACAACTACTGGCCAAGCATTCCCAACCTGACAGCAGAACAGGGGTACAGCAGTGCTGAGGTGAACTTGACAGAGAAATTTGAGACCATGAAGGCAGCCAACACTTCCAACTTATCACAACCTGCCTCTCACATAGATTTATTGTGGAAGAACTCAACCATCTCCGTGTCAACAAGAAATGGTCCTCACTCTAAACCATCACCCTTGGATTTAGATCATGAGGCTGTCCTGTCTTTAGTATGGAATTGAAAAGCTTTAATTTCCACAAAAATGTAAGGTTTTGGGCTACAGCCTTATTAAAACAAACAAATATGAGCATCGTGGTCTACAGTTGGAGTATCTGGGGCTCTAAACAAACTGCTACTTGAAAGCATAATCACTGTCTTTTTGTTTGTTTCTTTAGCCTGGTAGGACAACGTCAGAAATTTCCTTAGTCATAAGGAATATAAAACATAGTTTGAACAAAAGCAGCAATAAAGCTACAAACTATTTTTTGGTGTATTTGCTTAAGTATAAGATAGCTGATTGGGGCTTTATCATGTAACGTTAGTTTGCTTAGTTTTCATTAAGTTTGTTAAACTTGAATTGTGAATAAATATATGGCTGATTCATATGTAGTTAAACTGCACATTGACATAAACTGTACATTAAAAGTTGCTGCACACTGTCATCCAAAATAATACTTAGGTAAAACCAAAAATACTATAAACCAATGTCAAGGAACCTACCCTAAAATAAAAATACAGTTAACATGGAATTGCAAAACTAGAATGGGAGAATTATTTACCCATAAAATCTTGTTTGGAACATTGATATAACACTAGAAAAGAATTTTTCTAAATAACCACAATGTTCAACAGTGACTGTGCACCTGTGAAGACCAGGCATTTTGAATGATTGCCCTGTGGTGTATGGCAGTACAATTTTACAGAAATGCACTACAATAATTAATAAAATTCTCTAATGGGAAGATTTTAATGAATAAGTATTTATGCTATTAATATTTATAATATTGGTGCTATTATTTCACAAAATAAAAAAGCTGTATTACAGCCTTTAAAGCAAATAATAGCCTTACATTTCTAAATAAAGAAAAAATATAAATTTTATGAAATATGGTTAAGAGTAATTGATAAAATAAAAATTGTGGCATAAATTATATCATAGTTTGGATAGAAGTTGAAGAAAGTGGATGAAAATTTTAATGAGCCCTTTTTGCGTGCACTAAACTTAATCTTATAGGTGAACTTTATAATATATAAGGGTACCTACTAGCTATCTAATTTACCTTTTACACAATGTATAAATCCTAGCCTATTGGTCTTAATATTTGCACCTAAAATAACACACAAACATACAAGAGAACAAAATAAGGAAGAAATGTATGGAGACAGTGATATTATCAAGATGGTGGAATAGGGGGTTCCTACTTTTGTATTCCCCTGCAGTAATAAAAACTAGTCAGCCATCCATCAACCAAAGTAACTTTACGAGAGATCCAGGCACAATGGCTCATGACGGTAATCTCCTCCATTCAGGAACCTGAGGCGGGAGGACTGCTCCAGGCCAGGCGTTCAAAAACAACCTGGGCAATATAGTGAGCTTTGCGATACAGGGCATTATGAAACCTCGCTAAAACCCAAGATAGAAAAGAGTCATTTTGAGAAGCCAGGCCCTTTGGTTAATAAGGTGTCATATTATCCAAAACAATCTGTAAGTTAACTCAAATCCGTATCAAAATCCCTGTCCCACTTTTTATAGTAATAGAAAATGCAAGCCTACAATGTAGGCTGAATGGCCAAGCCAATCATGAGGAATAAGAAAAAAGCTGGGGACATCATACTCGTGACTCACACAAAACAGCTCAAAAGTCACTGTTTGTAGATAACCTGGGGAACACCTGCTAGGTACACAGTGGGAGCCACACTCACCCACACATCTGCTATTAGGCCCAGCATATAGCAGAACCTGCCCTAGTGCCTGCTTCACAAAACAAAGCCCTGAAGACAATCCAGCCTGCCCAAAAACCCAACAGAACTCACAACCACATGTGCTCCTGGTAACAAGCCCACTAAAGGTAAAACCCACTTCAGATTCGGCAGCCACCTTGTGATGCAGCTACAAGCCTTTTTACTGCAAACCCAGTAAAGATCTCATCAGCCTTGAGACCCAACAGATGAAGATCTTTACCTACTAAAACCAGTTTACAAAAATGAAAAGAGCTGGCTGGGCACGGTGGTTCACACCTGTAATCCCAGCACTTTGGGAGGAGGAGGTGGGTGGATCACGAGGTCAGGAGTTCAAGACCAGCCTGGCCAAAATGGTGAAACACTGTCTCTACTAAAAATACAAAAATTAGCCGGGCATGGTGGTTGGCACTTGTAATCCCAGCTACTCGGGATGCTGAGGCAGAGAATTGCTTGAACCCAGGAGGCGGAGGTAGCAGTGAGCCAAGATCGTGCCACAGCACTCCAGCCTGGGTGACAGAGCGAGTCTCCGTCTCAAAAACAGAACAACAACAACAACAACGATAAATGAAAAGAGGTGTTTGCTCCTTCAAATGCACAAACACCAATGCAAGTCTATATTATGCCCGTTCTAACGGTTCTATTTTAACATAGAATACGAAGTCCTACATAGAATAATTAAGTCCTACGTCAAATAATTAAGCAAGAAAAGCTAAAAGATCCAAATTGAAAAGAAGAAATAATGTCACTGTTTGTAGATGACATAATGTTATATATAAAAAACATAAATAGTACATTTAAATACTGCATTTAATGCATCTATATATAAACAGTGCATCTAATAAATGCACTCAGTAAAGAAGCAGAATATACAATTAACATACAAATATCAGTTTTGTTTCTATATGCTAGCAACAAACCAGTAAAAAAGAAAAAAAATCTCATTTACAATAGCAACAAAATAATAGATTTCTTAGCAATAAATTTAACAAACGCGGTGAAAGATCTTTACAATAAAAAATAAAATATATTGATGAAAAAAATTAAAGAAGATACAAATAAATGTAAATATATTACATGTTTATGGATTAGAAGAATATTGTCTAAGCACCATGTTATCCAAAGTAAAGTGTAGATTAATTCAACTTCCTATAAAAATTCCTGTGCCACTTTTTACAGTAATAAAAAATAAAGTCTGCAATGTATATAAAACTATAAGAAATATTGAAAGGCCAAAGAAATCACGAGAAATAAAAAGAAATCTGGGGACATTATACTTTATTATTTAAAACTACATTTCAAGACTACAGTAAACATAATAGAATGGAATGTTTATAGGAACAAACACAAAAACCAATGGAACAGAATACAGAGCCCAGAAGTAAATCTATGCATCTAAAGTTAATCTTTGACCAGGGCACTATGAATATGCAATACAAAAAGTGTAGCCTTTCAATACTTAGTGCTGGGAAAACTGGATACTCGCAAGCACAATAATAAAACTTGATCATATTTCTTATGCCAGACACTTAAAATACTTAAATTTAATACATAAATCCTTAAAAGAAAATCTTTTAAAAAGCATATGAAAAGCCTCCATGATACTGGCCTTGGCAATTTTTTTTAAATACGATATCAAAAGTATAGCAATAAAACCAGACATAAAGTTGTAGTGTATTAAACTATTGTGCACAGCAAAAAATAAGAAAACATTTAAGATGGGATAAAATATTTGCAAACTATATATGATGAGAGGTTAATATTCAAAATATAGCAGAAACTCATACAAATCAGAAGCTAAACAATAATAATTATAAAACCCAACTAAAAAATAAGCAAAAGACTAAACATTATTTTTTAATATTATTATACTTTAACTTTTAGGGTACATGTGCACAACGTGCAGGTTTGTTACATATGTATACATGTGCCATGTTGCTTTGCTGTACCCATTAATTCATCATTTAGCATTAGGTATATCTCCTAATGTTATCCTTCCCCCCCCCACACCCCACAACAGGCCTTGGTGTGTGATGTTCCCCTTCCTGTGTCCATGTGTTCTCACTCTTCAATTCCCACCTATGAGTGAGAATATGCGGTGTTTGGTTATTTGTTCTTGCGATAGTTTGCTGAGAATGATGGTTTCCAGCTTCATCGATGTCCCTACAAAGGACATGAACTCATCATTTTTTATGGCTGCATAGTATTCCATGGTGTATATGTACCACATTTTCTTAATCCAGTCTATCATTGTTGGACATTTGGGTTGGTTCCAAGTCTTTGCTATTGTGATAGTGCCACAATAAACATATGTGTGCATGTGTCTTTATAGAAGCATGATTTATAATCCTTTGGGTATATACCCAGTAATGGGATGACTGGGTCAAATGGTATTTCTAGTTCTAGATCCCTGAGGGATCACCACACTGACTTCCACAATGGTTGAACTGGTTTACAGTCCCACCAACAGTGTGAAAGTGTTCCTATTTCTCCACATCCTCTCCAGCACCTCTTGTTTCCTGACTTTTTAATGATCACCATTCTAACTGGTGTGAGATGGTATCTCATTGTGGTTTTGATTTACATTTCTCTGATGGCCAGTGATGGTGAGCATTTTTTCATGTGTTTTTTGGCTGCATAAATTTCTTTTGAGAAGTGTCTGTTCATATCCTTTGCCCACTTTTTGATGGGGTTGTTTGTTTTTTTCTTTTTTCTTGTAAATTTGTTTGAGTTCATTGTAGATTCTGGATATTAGCCCTTTGTTCGATGAGTAGATTGCAAAAATTTTCTCCCTTTCTGTATGTTGCCTGTTCACTCTGATGGTGGTTTCCTTCACTGTGCAGAAGCTCTTTAGTTTAATTAGTTCCCATTTGTCAGTTTTGGCCTTTGTTGCCATTGCTTTTGGTGTTTTAGACATAAAGTCCTTGCCCATGCCTATATCTTGAATGGTATTGCCTAGGTTTTCTTTTAGTGTTTTTATGGTTTTAGGACTAACATGTAAGCTTTAATCCATCTTGAATTAATTTTTATATAAGGTGTAAGGAAGGGATCCAGTTTCAGCTTTCTACATATGGCTAGCCAGTTTTCCCAGCACCATTTATTAAATAGGGAATCCTTTCCCCATTGCTTCTTTTTCTCAGGTTTGTCGAAGATCATATAGTTGTATATATGCAACATTATTTATGAGGGCTCTGTTCTGCTCCATTGGTCTATATCTCTGTTTTGGTACCAGTACCATGCTGTTTCGGTTACTGTAGCCTTGTAATATAGTTTGAAGTCAGGTAGCGTGGTGCCTCCAGCTTTGTTCTTTTGGCTTAGGATTGACTTGACAATGCAGGCTCTTTTTTGGTTCCATATGAACTTTAAAGTAGTTTTTTCCAATTCTGTGAAGAAACTCATTGGTAGCTTGATGGGGATGGCATTGAATCCATAAATTACCTTGGGCAATATGGTAATTTTCACAACATTGATTCTTCCTACCCACGAGCATGGAATGTTCTTCCATTTGTTTGTATCCTCTTTTATTTCATTGAGCAGTGGTTTGTAGTTCTGCTTGAAGAAGTCCTTCACATCCCTTGTAAGTTGGATTCCTAGATATTTTAATCTCTTTGAAGCAATTGTGAATGGGAGTTCACTCATGATTTGGCTCTCTGTTTATCTGTTATTGGTGTATAAGAATGCTTGTGATTTCTGCACATCGATTTTATATCCTGAGACTTTGCTGAAGTTGCTTATCAGCTTAAGGAGATTTTCGGCTGAGAAAACGGGGTTTTCTAGATATACAATCATGTCATCTGCCAACAGGGACAATTTGACTTCCTCTTTTCCTAATTGAATGCCTTTTATTCCCTTCTCCTGCCTGATTTCCCTGGCCAGGACTTCCAACACTATGTTGAATAGGAGTGGTGAGAGAGGGCATCCCTGTCTTGTGCCAGTTTTCAAAGGGAATGCTTCCAGTTTTTGTCCATTCAGTATGATATTGGCTGTGGGTTTGTCATAGATAGCTCTTATTATTTTGAGATACGTCCCATCAATACCTAATTTATTGAGAGGTTTTAGCATGAAGTCTTGCTGAATTTTGTCAAAGGCCTTTTCTGCATCTATTGGGATAATCTTGTGGTTTTTGGCTTTGATTCTGTTTATATGCTAGATTACATTTATTCATTTTCGTATGTTGAACCAGCCTTGTATCCCCAGGGATAAAGCCCACTTGATCATGGTGGATAAGCTTGTTTATGTGTTGCTGGATTCGGTTTGCCAGTATTTTATTGAGGATTTTTGTGTCAATGTTCATGAAGGATATTGGTCTAAAATACTCTCTTTTTTTTTTGTTTTGTCTCTGCCAGGCTTTGGTATCAGGATGATGCTGGCTTGATAAAATGAGTTAGTGAGGATTCCTTCTTTTTCTATTGATTGGAATAATTTCAAAAGGAATGGTACCAGCTCCGCCTTGTACCTCTGGTAGAATTCGGGTGTGAATCCATCTGGTCCTGGACTTCTTTTGTTGGTAAGCTATTAATTATTGCATCAACTTCAGAGCCTGTTATTGGTTTATTCGGAGATTCAACTTCTTCCTGGTTTAGTATTGGGAGGGTGCATGTGTCGAAGAATTTATCCATTTCTTCTAGATTTTCTAGTTTATTTACATAGAGGTGTTTATAGTATTCTCTGATGGTAGTTTGTATTTCTGTGGGATCAGTGGTGATATCCCCTTTGTCATTTTTTATTGCATCTATTTGATTCTTCTCTCTTTTCTTCTTTATTAGTCTGCTAGCAGTCTACCAATTTTGTTGATCTTTTCAAAAAAAACAGCTCCTGGATTCATTGATTTTTTGAAGGGTTTTTTGTGGTTCTATTTCCTTCAGTTCTGCTCTGATCTTAGTTATTTCTCACCTTCTACTAGCTTTTGAATGTGTTTGCTCTTGCTTCTCTAGTTCTTTTAATTGTGATGTTAGGGTGTCAATTTTAGATATTTCCAGCTTTCTCTTGTGGGCATTTAGTGCTATAAATTTCCCTCTACACACTGCTTTGAATGAGTCCCAGAGATTCTAGTATGTTGTGTCTTTGTTCTCGTTGGTTTCAAAGATCATCTTTATTTCTACCTTCATTTCGTTATGTACCCAGTAGTCATTCAGGAGCAGGTTGTTCAGTTTCCATGTAGTTGAGCGGTTTTGAGTGAGTTTCTTAATCCTGAGTTCTAGTTTGATTGCACTGTGGTCAGAGAGATAGTTTGTTATGATTTCTGTTCTTTTACATTTGCTGAGGAGTGCTTTACTTCCAACTATGTGGTCAATTTTGGAATATGTGTGGTGTGGTGCTGAAAAGAATGTATATTCTGTTGATTTGGGATGGAGAGTTCTGTGTATGCCCATTAGGTCCGCTTGGTGCAGAGCTGAGTTCGATTCCTGGATATCCTTTTTAACTTTCTGTCGTGTTGATCTCTCTACTGTTGACAGTGGGGTGTTAAAGTCTCTGATTATTATTGTGTGGGAGTCTAAGTCTCTTTGTAGGTCACTAAGGACTTGCTTTATGAATCTGGGTGCTCCTGTATTGGATGCATATATATTTACGATAGTTAGTTCTTCTTGTTGAATTGATCCCTTTACCATCATGTAATGGCCTTCTTTGTCTCTCTTGATCTTTGTTGTTTTAAAGTCTGTTTTATCTGAGACTAGGTTTGCAACCCCTGCCATTTTTTGTTTTCCATTTGCTTGGTAGACCTTCCTCCATCACTTTATTTTGAGCCTATGTGTGTCTCTGCACATGAGATGGGTTTCCTGAATACAGCACCCTGATGGGTCTTGACTCTTTGTCCAATTTGCCAGTCTGTGCCTTTTAATTTGAGCATTTAGCCCATTTACATTTAAGGTTAGTATTGCTAAGTGTGAATTTGATCCTGTCATTATGATGTTAGCTGGTTATTTTGCTCGTTAGTTAATGCAGTTTCTTCCTAGCCTCGATGGTCTTTACAATTTGGCATGTTTTTGCAGTGGCTAGTACCGGTTGTTCCTTTACACGTTTAGTGCTTCCTTCAGGAGCTCTTTTAGGGCAGGTCTGGTGATGACAAAATCTCTCAGCATTTGCTTATCTGTAAAGGATTTTATTTCTCCTTCACTTATGAAGCTTAGTTTGGCTGGATATGAAATTCTGGGTTGAAAATTCTTTTCTTTAAGAATGTTGAATATTGGCCCCCACTCTCTTCTGGCTTGTAGAGTTTCCGCCGAGAGATCAGCTGTTAGTCTGAAGGGCTTCCCTTTGTGGGTAACCCGACCTTTCTCTCTGGCTGCCCTTAACATCTTTTCCTTCATTTCAACTTTGGTGAAGCTGCCAATGATGTGTCTTGCAGTTGCTCTTTTCGAGGAGTGTCTTTGTGACATTCTCTGTATTTTCTGAATTTGAATGTTGGCCTGCCTTGCCAGGTTGGAGAAGTTCTCCTGGATAATATCCTGCTGATTGTTTTCCAACTTGGTTCCATTCTCCCTGTCACTTTCACGTACACCAATGAGACATAGATTTGGTCTTTTCACATAGTCCCATATTTCTTGGAGGCTTTCTTCATTTCTATTATTTTTTCTCTAAACTTCTCTTCATGCTTCATTTCATTCATTTCATCTTCCATCGCTGATACCCTTTCTTCCAGTTGATCGCATCAGTTACTGAGGCTTGTGCATTTTTCACGTAGTTCTTTTGTCATGGTTTTCAGCTCCATGAGATCCTTTAAGGACTTCTCTGCATTGGTTATTCTAGTTATCCATTCGTGTATTTTTTTTTTCAAAGTTTTTAACTTGTTTGCCATTGGTTTGAACTTCCTCCTTTAGCTCGGAGTAGTTTGATCTTCTGAAGCCTTCATCTCTCAACTCGTCAAAGTCATTCTCCATCCAGCTTTGTTCCATTGCTGGTGAGGAGGTGCGTTCCTTTGGAGGAGGAGAGGTGCTATGATTTTTAGAGTTTCCAGTTTTTCTGCTCTGTTTTTTCCCCATCTTTGTGGTTTTATCTACCTTTGGTCTTTGATGATGGTGACGTACAGATGGGTTTTTGGTGTGGATGTCCTTTCTGTTTGTTAGTTTTCCTTCTAAAAGACAGGGCCCTCAGCTGAAGGTCTGCTGGAGTTTACTGGAGGTCCACTCCAGACCCTGTTTTCCTGGTTATCAGCAGTGGAAGCTGCAGAACAGTGGATATTGGTGAACTGCAAATGCTGCTGTCTGATGGTTCCTCTGGAAATTTTGTCTCAGAGGAGTACCTGGCCGTGTGAGTTGTCAGTCCACCCCTACTGGGGGGTGCATCCCAGTTAGGCTACTTGGGGGTCTGGGACCCACTTGAGGGGGCAGTCTGCCCATTCTCAGATCTCAACCTGTGTGCTGGGAGAACCACTACTCTCTTCAAAGCTGTGGGACAAGGACAATTATGTCTGCAGAAGTTTTTGCTGTCTTTTATTTGTCTGTGCCCTGCCCCCAGAGGTGGAGCCTACAGAGGCAGGCAGACCTCCTTGAGCTGTGGTGGGCTCCACCTAGTTTGAGCTTCCCAGCCACTTTGTTTACCTACTCAAGCCTGAGCAATAGTGGGCATCCCTCCCCCAGCCTCACTGCCACCTTGCAGTTCGATCTCAGACTTCTGTGCTAGCAATGATTGAGGCTCCGTGGGCATAGGACCCTCCGAGCCATGTGCAGGATATAATCTCCTGGTGTGCTGTTTGGAAGCTGGTTGTAAAAGTGCAGTATTAAGGTGGGATTGACCCGATTTTCCAGTTGCCATCTGTCACCCCTTTCTTTGAGGAGGAAAGGGAATTCCCTGACCCCTTGTGCTTCCCAGGTGAGGTGATGCTTCACCCTTCTTTGGCTCATGCATGGTGCACTGTACCCACTATCCTGCACCCACTGATCAGCACTCCCCAGTGAGATGAGCCTGGTACCTTAGTTGGAAATGCAGAAATCACCCATTTTCTGTGTCACTCAAGCTGGGAGCTGTAGACCAGAGCTGTTCCTATTTGTCCATCTTGGCTCCACCAACCAAGACTAAATATTTTTTACAAACATATTCAAATGGCCAACAGGTGTGTAGAAAGACGCTAAACATTACCATTCATGAGAAAATTGCAAATCAAAAGATACAACTTTACAGCAGTTGGAATGGCTAATATCAAAAAAAAAAGAAATATGACAAGTGTTAACAAGGATGTGAGAAAATATTTCTGTACAGTCTGAATGAGTTGCAAACTGGAAGAGTCATTATGAAAATTAGTTTGCAGGTTATTTTAAAAAATAGAACTATTGTAAAATCCCGAAATTCCACTTCTGTCTATAAACAAATTAAAATCAGCATCTCAAAAATAATCTTCACCCCTGTATTCAATGCAGCGTTATTCACAACTGTCAAAGGTATTTTTTTTAAAAAAACGACTTATCTGTAGATGCTGAATGGATAAGGAAAATGTGGTATAAATAGACAACCGAATATTATTCACTCATAAAAAAGAATGAAATTCTGCTATTTCAACAACATGAATGGACTTGGGTACATTATGCTATGCAAAATAAGCCAGGCACAGAAAGACAAACACTGTATGTTCTCACTTATGTGGACAATTTAAAAAGCCTGAACTCATAGAAGCAGAGAGTACAATGGTAATGACCAGGCCTGGAGGTAGAAAAAATGATAAGGTGTTCAAAGAGTTCAAACTTCCAGTTATAAGATAAATAAGTTTTGGGGGTCTAATGTATAGCTTTAAGATGTAGTTAATAACAGTGTTTTCTATGCTTAAAATTTGCTGCAACAGTAGGATACCTCAAATGCTCTTACTACAAAAAACATAACCATGTGAGGTGACATAAATGTTCATCAACTTAATTGTATTAAACATTTTACAATATATATACCTATCAAATTTTTATAATGTACACAATACATAATTATGCACTTTTTATTGGTCAAAAATTAATGTTATGTACACATGCATATATTCACAGAAGTGTGTCTATACACATATATAAAGCATATACATATATATCAATTACATATGTTGTTATGTATATACTTGTGTGTGTGTATATATATATATATGTACACATACATATCAATGAAAAAATCCTAGTAAACTTCAAACTAAACAAGAGAAAATTATAAAATGATAACTATTTAAAAAACAGGAAACAAATGGGTATTTAATACATGCTCAGCAATATTCTGAGTTCCTCAATGGCAAAGTACATGTTTTAAATGTAGAAAGTAGATACATTAAACCATATTACAGTTTAGGAATTATGGCACAGCGTGTTTACAATATTAGCCTCAATACATACCAAAAACTTAAAATTTTGAAGTAAAATAACATTAGGTTTTACTACATGGGGCAGAAGCTTAGTGTTCTGATAAAATTATTGAGTATGAATTTCTGTAGAATCACATTTGAAACCTTCACAGGATATGAAATTATAAAGCAGAAAACATACAACATCTGGATTTGGCCTTTCTGGGATTTCTAAACCAAATCCCAATATCTCCACTACTCTCACACATTTTAGACAAGACTCAAAATGGAAATTAGAAAATGTTTAACATAGAGTTCCTTAAAAATCACAGACGGCCCCATGTCCTCAAAAGGAATAAAAGAGCAAGCAGCCAGGTCCTCCAGTCCCTTGTAAGCCATGCAAAGGGCTTTGATTTTCTTTGTAACCTGGAAGAACGATCGTTGAAGGGGAAGTCCAGTCCTAGAAAATTGAAGAGCATGGGGCAGAGGATGTCAGTCTCTAATAAAAGCAAGAGAAAGAAATCAGGGCTTTGCAGAAAAGGTTTCCATTGGAGCATAGCTTCACAAACCACACTTTAACATCTGGCTTTCTCCTTGACTTTTGGACATCTCGTCTGTGTCATCTGCCTTATTCACTCCCACCTATTTGGATGTTTGGCTACTATCTCCTGTCTCCTCACACTCTGGGGTTTTTTCTTTTTCTCAATGTAGGTGATCAGGATTAGCTTAGAGAACAGCCAAGGACTCTGTATTAGAAAAAGTAATATGACTTATTCTGTGATTTTCCAATTACTACTTAGTACTGTGCTCGGTGGAAAAAAACAGAACATTATAAAAGAGTCTAAAAATGTAATATCAAATACTATTTCCTCACAGAAACGTTATGATATTTAAAAACTTTTCTAAATTTGTGGGTCCTTAGCTCCATCACCCAGTGCTGCTGAATCAAAACTTGGTGGTGGTTGGCTGGGCATAGTGACTCACACCACTGATCCCAGCACTTTGAGAGGCCAAGGCAGGCAAATCACTTAAGCCCAGGAGTTTGAGGTCAGCCTGGGCAACATGGCGAGACCTATTCTACGGGTTGAGGGTGGGGAGGAGGGGGAAAGGTGGTGGTAATGGGAGGTGGTAATGCGATTATAAGGTATGGGCAACCATATTTTGTGCCTCTAAATTTGTGGAGTTACCACTAATCTAAAATGAAGGATACAGATCAGCTGAGGAAAGAAAAAGATTTATGTCGAGATGAAACCTCCTCGTGGGGGTCCACAGCTGCAATACCGCCAGGCGGCAGCATCCCACCTCTTTCGACTGGCTGCAGCCCCACCAGAAGCCCGGCTCCAGCCGGGGCGCTGCGGCGCGTACTAGACCCGGAAGGCGCAGGCGCGGGTTTCCTGCCCTCCAGGGTGTCTTCCCACTACCCGGACCCCAGGCAATTCAATTCATTCATCAAGTGCCTCCGCAACCATCCAAGTTGGGGCAGCAGGTCCCACAGTCGCCAGCCAAGACCTCCGCTCCAGAAACCATGGAATGCTTTCCCCGGGGGAAGGATATTGTCTTCGCCAGCCACGAAGAAATCCGTCCCTGCGCACCTTGTTTCCCATTGCCACCGACTTCGTGTAAAGTGTAGTCCCGAGGACACGAAAGATACACAGACCTGGCCCCGTGGACACGCTCTGTGCCAAGGCTTCCACCAGACGGACGGGTGCACTCTACAAATCTCGGGGCCACAGCACCAACGAGACAGAAAGAAGCAAACAAAGGAAGGACCCTATGAAACGCACCCCCAAAGCAATCAACCAATCCAAGAAAAAAAAAAAAAAACACGTCTCAGGGCTCCGCTGGTTTTCCCGCATTCGCGGCCCTGACCCCCTGTCCTAGCCTGGCCCAAGCACCCTCCACCTCACCCCGGCCTGCTCAAAGTGCCCTGTCTACCTGAGCAGAGCCTCCCTCTCCAAGGCTCTGTCTTTCTCTCTCTGCAACTCCCTCACCCTCTCCCTTTCTCTACTTCCCCCTCCACCTCTCACTCTTCTATCACCTTCTGTCTCTCTCCCCCTCCAACTTTCTCTCTCTCCCCCCATATCTATCTCTCCATCCCGGTCTCCCTGGCTTTCTTTCAAGCTGTGTCTGTGTCTTTGTCTGTATGTCCTTGTGTGTGTGTCCGTGTGCGTGTGTCCATGTGTCCGTGTGTGTGTCTGTGTGTTGTGTGTGTCCGTGTGTGCCTGTGCGCGTGCACCCGTGTGTATCTGTGTGTGTGTCGGTGTGGGTTTGCTCGTGGTGGTGGTGTGGTGTGTCTGGGTGTCTGTCAGCCCCTCTTTCCCAGTATCAGGCTGCCGGGACTCTAGTGTCAGCGCGGGGCAAAGCAGGGCCTTCCTGTCCTGTTGGCCATGGGCGGGTCCTCGTTGGAACAAGCAACGATGGTGTGGGCATTATGAGAAAAAGGGCCCGCGGGGCTGGGCTGGCTGTTCGCCCCTGGGCAGCCCTGGCGGCGACTCTGGGTGTGTGGGGCAAGAGAGGGCCTTGCAAGAGGGGCGGCGTGGGATCCAAATCAATTTTTCCGCGGCAAGGCGGAGGACCAGAGATGATCCCAGGACTGTGGGCCATGGGCCCTGACGCCTCCGAGCACACCCTGTCCTGAGCCGGCCCGATGTGTTGGAAGCTCGGGAGCTCGCGAGCTGGGGGAAGGCCTGGAATGTCAGTGAAAGGGAGGCCGCCTGATGGGCCTTGAGCCTGGACAGGGGACTGAGGAATCAAGGCCTGACGACGGATTCCTGTTTCCTGCAACATGGGGAGTCTCCAAAATGGCCTGTTTGGAAACGAAAGGAGAGCGAAGACAAGATGCTGCTTTTCCACGCTTCGCTGGAGGTTTCTGTGTTCCCACAGAGCTCGGGAAACAAACAGTCAACATGGTCACGCTTTCGGGGGCCAGAGACACATGAGCAACAGGCCCCCCACCCCTTGCAGAAGGCAAAGGAACGTGGAATCCGGAATCATGATTCACTCAGCTTGAGTGTGACTCCTGTGTGGATGGGAGTATCTGCCTCGCGCTCTGTTGTAGGCTTAGCTGGGGAGGCTCACATGTCATCTGTGAACCATGTGGATGAAAAACGGACAACAATTCGAGTCTCGGCTCTGCTCTTTGGGGAATTCGCCCATTCCTTGGGAAGCGGAATTCGTCTGAATCGCTCCCGGGTGAAGTAACCCAGGCGATCCCGAGGGCCGGTGAGCCCACCGCCGGCCGATGCGGCCGTGGGCCGAGCACTCAGCCTGCACTGGGCACCCAACATTTTCCCGGAGTTCGAGGTCCTGCTGGTCCTGGTGGCAGAAGACCGCTTTTCTCTTTGCCTTCCTTTCTCTGTTTCTTGCTCCTTTTCTCCCTCTGTCCATCCTTCCCTCTGTTCTTCCTTCTCTCCCTCTCTCCCTCCCTCCCTCTCTCCCTCCTTCCCTCTGTTCTCTCCTTCCCTCTCTCCCTCCATCCATACCTCCCTTTCTCCCTCCTTCCCTCCCTCCCTTCCTCTCTTATTCTTTTCCTCTCTCCCTCCCTCCATCCCTTCCAAGGTCCCTCCTTTCATCCGTCCTTTCCTCCCTCTGTCCCTCCCTCTCACTTTGTCTCCGTTCCTTTCCCCATTTCTGCCTGGCTTCCCTCCCACCTAGAAAGGGCAGAACCACGGTTTGCGCAAGATCTCGGGGTCTACATTTAGTTGCCGGGAGCTCCACGTGATGCGGCGGGGCACGGGTGGGCGAGGGAGGGTGGAGCGGGGAGGTAGTGGAGTTGAGCTGTGGAAAGGAGAGCAGGCCTGGCCGCTGCCCGGGCCGGTGTTTCCCGGGGTGGAGGTCTCCGCCTACACCATTGAAGAACGCGGAGGCTGGGGGGAGGTGTACGGCGTGGGGAGGCGGGGGAAGGGATGAGAGCCCTGTCCGGGCTGGTCCCAAACCCTAGCCGGCTGCCCATGAACCCGCGCATGCCAGCCTGGGCTGGCTCTGAAATCCTTGGGATGCTCAGGAAAAGAATGACAGCCCTCCTTTCTGTGGAGTTTCTCGCCGGACCTGGACTCAGGGATCCTAGACAGGTCAGCTGGAAGGGAAGACGCAGGTCTCCATACAGAGCCTGAGGTTCAGCGCGAAAGAGGGGCCACCCCCTGCCCCCACCCGGTCCCAACCCCGCGTCCTAAAGCTCCTCCAGCAGAGCCCCGTGTTCTTCCTGGCTGAGGAGTGGTTCCAGAAAAGTGGGCTCTTCCATGTCCTTCAACTCCCCCAGTGGCTCCGTTGCTTGGAAAGGTTGTGCCTTTTGCTGAAATTCTGGGGTCGACAGGAGCTCATATAACAGGGTGGATGCGAGTGCAGATGAACGCTCCAGCTCTTGGAGCGGTTGGGAGGGTGCCTGGATGGCTTACATCTGCTTCTGACACGCAGAGGCCTCCGTGGGCGCGAGCTGCGGAGGTAGATGTGCCTCGGCTTCGCGTTCCCATGCTCCCTGGCGACCTGGGGACCCTGGCCCCAGCCCCAATACGGACTCATGTGGGACGTGTGCGGCGCAAGCACACCTTGCCCCTGTGACTCAGCCTGAGCGGCTCAAGTTGTCCCACTGAGCACGCACACAGAAGGCCGCCGTGCTGCGAGTCCTGGTCCACCTGCCAACTGTTTGACTCAGCCTGAGCGGCCCAAGCTGTCCCATTGAGCACAGCACCCACAAAGCCTCCGTACTGCGGGTCCTGGTTCCCCTGCCATCTGTTCGGGTGTGGAGGTCACCCAGGTGTCTGAGGGTGGGACAGCGCCACTTCCGAAGGAGCCAGAGCAGCAAACTCAAAATCCCCGAGTGCCACGGCAGGTCGGGAGATTCTTTCTGCCTGCAAAGCCTGGCTGGGCTGCAGCAGAGGGGCCACCCCTGCTGTCTGGCTCACGAAAGCCCCCTGTTCCCCACGCCCTGGAGTGGGTGAAGGCGACCAAGGAGGGAGGGTGGCACCCGCGGTGGGCCGCGTTGCACAGGCGCCTGCGTGCGCGGATTCCCTGCCACCCTGGCCTGGATGCCTGGACCTTCGATTCTGATACGAAATCTGAATCCTGGGCTCCAAAAGGCAGGTCTCTCTGGACAGTTTGGGTACGGGTTCCGCTCAAAGCACGCTAGCAGGGAATCTTTTTTGTTCAGGTTACAAACCAGTCTCCTTCGCCGTCCTCGTCCTCGGGCTTCCGCGGGGAAGGGGCTGTCAGAAGGTGTCGGGAGAGCCATCGCGAGGGCACCTCGCCGGAATTTCACGGACAGACACGGGCAGAGAGAGGCCGGCGGCTCCTGTGCGCCTCAGTTGGCCTCTGTGCTGTACGCAGGTCCAGTCAGGAGTCCGACCCCGCCAGTGGCCCTTATAAAGACCCACCAGCTTCACCCCTTCATGAATATGCGTGAGCACCCAAGGGCCCTGGGTATCCCGCCCTCCGAAGCCAGAAATCACAGACACAGGGCCCTGTGTGGTAGGTGAAGGTGGGGCCAGATCGGCCAGGAAAGGGGGGCTTCTGGGGCTGGCTCTCTGAGTTCTCCAGAATTCTACGGAAACTGGAAGTTTCTCTCTGGGCTCACATACGATTTCAGGGAGAAACCACCCTGGAAGGGTGGTGTGTGGAACTGAACCTCCATGACAGTCTTGAGTTTTCCAGGCCCTCTCCGTGAAGGCGGCAATGCCTGTGGGTGTCGCCGTTGCCGTGATAGTCTCACACACGCAGGTGTGTGGATCTCATTCATTTTCTTTTTTTTATTTTTATTTTTTATTTCTACCTCTTAAAGTCAATGATAATGTCACAAGTGTAAAATGAATACATTTAAAAACATAAAAGATACATTTCAATGACAAGAAATATGCAATGATCATGAAAATCTACTGTACACTTTGCCAAGGTCAAAGAATGAAAGACAATATGGAAAACCCAATCTTCAAATATATCCTTAATAAAAACTCTCTCCTACATAGTAAAAGCATCATCTAAACAGCAGCTCCAACTGAGAAAAAAAAAAAAAAAAAAAAAAAAAAAAAAAAAAAAAAAAGCAGGGTAGATGGGACAGATAACTTTCCCCAGGTTTTCCAGACAAAAACATGTGGTCACCAGGAATTCAAGGTAACTTCAAAAGCCACATGTAATTCAAAATAAAATGAACATTTCTGACAGATGACAGCAGTATGATACTGATTTTTTTCTTTCCTAGATACAAATGATATGGGGCATTTCTTAACAGTTTAGTAATCATCTAAGAATTACTGTAGAAATAACCCCAATTCCACCATCCCAGCCACTGGTATAAAACAAATAACCTTCCATTGATACTGTCTTTCACATAACTAAAATATCCTCACTTACTTGGAACAATTTCATGCTTACACATGATCACAAACACTTGTTTTTAGATGTTGTGGAATTATTGGAGCTGAGATTTTTGAAACAATATCTGAATCTTAGCAGAGAGCTAATAATCCTTTCACTATACATTGATTGGGCTTCCTTAACCAAATCTGAGCAACTACTGTAATAATAATGCTGGTGGTAATCCATGATACTCTCAAATTTTTCCCTTTAAGAAATATATAATCCATGTAATTCTAGCAAATATGTTACATTGCACAGTTGCTTAACAAGGATTGGCTGTTTTCAGGCCTTATTAGGAAAACAAAGAAACAAACAATGACAGTTACTATCTGTTTTTTATCACTGATAAGCTGCAATAAAACTCAAATATGAGAGTTTAATTGTGTGATATTAAGTAAAAAATGAAAACCATTATAGTTTTACCAAAAGAAATGTAAAAAATATGGGAAGAATTCAAATGAGCATGGCATAAGTCCCAAAGATTACACTATGATTCTGAACAGGATTTTCCAAACAAAGGGTATCTACTTACAATTTCTGTGAATATTTCTCGCACTAGAAAGATCCAAAGCAAACGTAGGCTCAGCCCTACCTTGTCAAAGATAAATATTCAGATAAACTAGAAGTTCCATCTGCTAAAGTGCATCGGCTGACCAGGTCTACCATGGCCCTGCTACTTACAGCCATCTAAGAAATTGGCCTCACCCATGCTCATTCACTCGTTCTGTGGCCTATCAAGAGTCACACATAACAATGGTTTTGCTTTTTTAAAAAAAACAAATACTTTATACAGTGAACTACAGAAAAAATTCTAAATATACTTTTAACATTCTAGAGAGTTAAGGTAACCTCATTTTTAAAAATACTGAAAATGTAAAGGGTCCATATAAAGAGTTGTGTTAAGTACATACTTCCTATTTTAATAATTCACTTGCTGTGTTCTTAAAATCTCTCTGAGAGAAGCAGATATTTTACTCATGTATTTTGGCAAGAGATTCAAAAGCAAAAGTAGCAGGGCTGTAAAATTTCATAAAGTTTGTGGGATTTTTAAAAGCTAAATTATTCAATATTTTGTATTGTTATTGCAATCATATATTGCCCGGAATATATATACAGCAACCCAGCAACAATGATTGCAACGAAAGTAAGGTAAACAGGTCTACAAACATTTGATTTCCTTATTAGATAGATGAAGTTTTCATAGAGGAAGTGCAAATTCAGATCAGGTTACATAAGCTTAACAATTATTTAAACTGTATATAAAATTAAATCTAACCCTCACCACTACAAATCTGTAAGGAATCACTGTCAGGAATCTACAGGACTTGGCTCTTATTTACATTCGACGCACACTTAGAAAGTTCACAAATGATGAGATGCAGGCCAAGGGGATTCCTCAAAGGGCTCCACCCAAAAGGAAAAGAAAGAGAGCTAAACAGAGAATTACCACTTATGTATTTGTGGGTAATCAGCTTATTCCTCAGCCTCTAGACAGTGAGGAGGATGAAGAAATGGAAGAAGATAACAAAGAAGAGGAAGAAAAAGATCACAGTGAAGCGATGAAGCCAGAGGAGCCACCTCAAAATTTACTGAGAGAAAAAATCATGAAACTGCCCCTCCCTGAATCTTTAAAAGCTTACTTGACATATTTTAGAGACAAATAACTTAGATCAAGAAGAAAGAATGCCTACTGATAATTCCTTTAGTCTTGAAAATGTAGCATTTGTTAGGAATTAAAAGAATTATTTATTTCATCAGAGCAAATTATAGGGGAAAAAATATCACTTGTTACTGTCAGTAACATAAATGATGTATTGAGTGAATAAAAGAATCCCTTTTATAAAATCTATTTTTCTTTAAATCTTGGAAAATTGTTGTTTCACCTCAGAGTGATTTGAAAGTGGAATGTAACAGTAGTCAAGACTTGTGTGCTATTTCTGATTCTTCCTTTTCTGATTCCTTACGGATCTCGTTCATTTTGATGTAGAAAACGAGAGCAAAACTACAGAGAAAAGAAACGCCAGGTGCATCACAGCCTGAGGATGGATTCCTGTTTCCTGCGACATGGGGAGTCTCCACTATGGCCTGTTTCCAAACAGGAAACTGGAAAGGAGAGCGAAGACACGATGCTGCTTTTCCACGCTTCTCTGGAGGTTTCTGTGTCCCCACAGAGCTCGGGAAACAATCAACATGGTCACGCTTTCGCGGGCCAGAGACGCATGAGCAACAGGCCCCCTTGCAGAAGGCAAAGGAACGTGGAACCCGAAACCACGCTTCAGTCGGCCTGAGTGTGACTCCTGTGTGGACGGGACTATCCACCTCGCGCTCCGTTGCAGGCTCAACCTGGGGCTATCTCATCTGTGAACCATGTGGATGAAAATTGGACAATCGCCTGAGTCTCGGCTCATTGCTCTCTGGACAATTCGCTCATTCCTTGGGAGACGAAATTCGTCTGAATTGCTCCCGGATTAAGTAACCCAGGCTGGCGATCCGGAGGGCAGGTGAGAGCGCCGCAGGCCGACGCGGCTGTGGGCCGAGCACTTAGCCTGCACTGGGCACCCAACATTTTCCCGGAGTGCAAGATCCTGCTAGTCCTGGAGGCAGAAGACTACTTTTCTCTCTGCCTTCCTCTCTCTGTTTCTTGCTCCCTCTTTCCCTCCTTCCCTCCCTCAGTTCCTCCCTTCCTCCCTCCCTCCCTCCTTCCCTCTCCCTCTCCTTCTATCCCTCCATCCTTTCCAAGGTCCCACGGTCCATCCGTTCTTTCCTCCCTCCATGGCTCCCTCCTTCTCTGTCTCCGTTCCTCTCCCCATCTCTGCCTGAGTTCCCTCCCGCGTAGAAAGGGCAGAACCCTGGCTTGCACGGGGTCTCGGGTCTGCATTTAGCTGTCAGGTGCTCCACATCGATGCCGAGGAAGCTGGCGGGGCAAGGGTAGGCGAGTGACGGTGGGGCGGGGAGGCAGAGGTGGCGAGACGCGGAAAGAAGAGCAGGCCTGGCGTCTGACCGGGCCAGTGTTTCCCGCCCGCCCCACTGAAGAACGCGGCAGGGGGCAAGAGAGAAGGGATGAGAGCTCCGCCTAGACTAGTTAGAAAACCTAGGCTACTGCCTGCTAACCCGCCCATGAGCAGTAGACAGTCCGCCTCCCGGTACCTGGACGGGCCCTGGGATCCCCGGAATGCTCAGGAAAGAATGATAGCCCTCCTCTGAGTGGAGTCTCTCACGGGACCTGGAACTCAGGGATCCTAGGCAGGTCAGCTGGAAGGGAAGACAAGCCTCTCCATACCGAGTCAGAGGTTCACCGCGAAAGAGAGGCCGCCGCCCTGCCCCCACCCTGCCCCAAACCCGCGTCCTAAAGCTCCTCCAGCAGAGCCCGGTGTTCTTCCTGGCTGAGGAGTGTTTCCAGCGGAGCGGGCTCTTCCACGTCCTTCAGCTTCCCCAGTGGCGCCGGATCTAGGAAAGACTGTGCCTTTTGCTGAAACTCTGGGGTTGACAGGAGCTCATCTAACAGGCTGGGGGTGTGTGTAGACGAGCGCCCCGGCTCCTGGAGTGGTTGGGAGGTGCCTGGATGGCTTGCATATGTGCTTGACGAGGAGGCCTCCGGGGTCGCGAGCTTCAGAGGGGGAGGTGCTCGGTCTTCGGTTTCCCACGCTGCCCTGGCAACCTGGGGCTCAAGCCCCACCGCGGACTCTGGTGGGACGTGGGTGGCGCAAACACACCTTGCCCCTGTGACTCAGCTTGAGGGGGCCCAAGCGGTCCCACTGAGCACGCGCCCACCAGGCCGCCGTGCTGCGGGTCCTCTTCCTCCTGGCATTTGTTAGGGTGCGGAGGCCACTGAGGAGTCTGAGGATGGGACACTCCTACTTCCAGAGGAGCCAGGGCAGCGAACACAAAATCCCCGCATGCAGGGACAGGTTGAGAGATTCCTTCTGCCTGCGCAGCCTGGCTGGGCTGGAGCGGGGGGAAGGCCCTTGCTCCCTGGCTCATGAAAGCCCCATGTGGGAGAGCCCCAGGCGTGCAGGGCGTGTGGGGTGCGGGAAGCCCCATTCCCCATGCCCTGGTGTGGGTGAACTCGATTGAGGAGGGAGGAAGATGACACCCACCGGGGGTGTTAATTAGTAACCACAGTGGCCTCAAAGAGCTCAAATGAAAGGAAGAATTGCATGTCTCTCACTTTAAGTCCAGAGCTAGAAATGATTAAGCTTACTGAAGATGTAAAATTTTCATCGCTAGAGAGACGTCAACACTTGGCTTCAAAACTTCAAAGGATGGGCTGACTCTCTTTGAGGACCACTGCAGTTGGTGACTTTAAGTTACAGCCAATGATCATTGACCACTCTGTAAATCTCAGGGCCCTTAAGAGTCATGCAAAATCTATTCTTTCTGTGCTCTAGAAACGGAACATCACAATCTGAGTGACAACACATCTGTTAAGAGCATGGTTTACTGAATATTTTAATCCCACTATTGAGACCTACTGCTCAGAAAAAAACAAAAAACAAAAAAAGAAAAAACAAAAACGATTCCTTTAAAGGGATTGCTGCTTGGCCAGGCACAGTGGCTCACACCTGTAATCCCTGCACTTTGGGAGGCGAGGTGGGTGGATCGCCTGAGGTCAGGAGTTGGAGACCAGCCTGGCAAAAATGATGAAACCTTGTCTCCTATAAAAATACAAAAAAATTAGCCGGACATGGTGGTTGTACCTGTAATTTCAGCTACTTGGGAGGCTGACGCAGAAGAATGGCTTGAATCCTGGAGGTGGAGGTAGAAATGAGCCGAGGCCATGCCACTGCCCTCCAGCCTGGGCAACAAGAGGGAAACTACATAAAGGAAAAAAAAGGAAAGAAAAGAAAAAAAGAAAAAAGATTGCTGCTTATTGACAATTCACCTAGCTACCCAGAAGCTTAGATGGAGATGTACTTGGAAATTAATGTTATTTTCATGGCTGCTAATACAATATCTATCCTTCAGCCTGTGGATCAAGGAGTGGTTTTGACTTTTCAAGTGTTTATATTAAATAATAAATGCATTTTATAAAGGTATAGCTGTCATAGATAGTAATTTCTTTGATGAATCTGGATAAACTGAATTGAAAACCTTTTGGAAAGGTTTCACCATTAATACCTTCATGATATTTCAACCTCTTCCGGTGAATCACAAATGTCCTTAATAGCAAATGCCATTAAGGACATTTGTGATTGATGGGAGGAGGTTGAAATATCAACATTAACAGGAGTTTGGAAGAAGTTGATTCCAGCCCTCATGGAAGACTTTGAGGGCTCAGGATGTCAGTGGAGGAAGTCCCTACAGATGTGGTAGAAATCGCAAGACAACCAGAATTAGAATTAGGGCTTTAAGACGAGAATAAATTGCTGTAAACTCATGATGAAACTTGAACAAGTGGGGAGTTGCTTCTTATGGATGAGCAAAGAAAATATTTTCTTGAGATGGAATATAATCCAGGTGGAGATGCAATGAAGTTTGTTGAAATAACAACAAAGGATTTAGAATATTCCATAAACCTAGTTGATAAAGCAGCAGCAGGGTTTGAGAGGGTTTACTCCAATTTTGAAGGAAGTTCTACTGTGGGTAAAATGCTATCAAACAGCATCACATTCTACAGGGAAATGTTTTGTGAAAGGAACAAACTTCATTGTTTTAAGAAATTGACACAGGCACCCAACTTTCAGCAGCCCCCACACTGATCAGTCAGCAGCCATCAACATAGCGGCAAGACCCTCACTGTAGATAAAAGAAAGAGAGCTCAGACTGTTACTGTGTCTATATAGAAAGGAAAAACATAAGAAACTCCATTTTGAAAGACTTGTACTTTAAACAATTGCTTTGCTGAGATGTTGTTAATTTGTAGCTTTGCACCAGCCACTTTGCCCCAGCCACTTTGACCCAACCTGGAGCTCACAAAAACATGTGTTGTATGAAATCAAGGTTTAAGCGATCTAGGGCTGTGCAGGACGTGCCTTGTTAACAAAATGTTTACAAGCAGTATACTTGGTAAAAGTCATTGCCATTCTCTAATCTCAATAAACGAGGGGCATAATGCACTGCAGAAAGCCGCAGGGACCTCTGCCCTTGAAGGCGGGGTATTGTCCAAGGTTTCTCCCCATATGATAGTCTGAAATATGGCCTCGTGGGATGAGAAAGACCTGACTGTCCCCCAGTCCGACACCCATTCAGAGTCTGTGCTGAGGTGGATTAGTAAAAGGGGAAAGCCTCTTGCTGTTGAGATAGAGGAAGGCCACTGTCTACTGCCTGCCCCTGGGAACTGAATGTCTCAGTATAAAACCTGATTGTACATTTCTTCAATTCTGAGATAGGAGGAAAACCGCCCTATGGTGGGAGGCCAGACATGTTTGCAGTAATGCTGCTTTGTTATTCTTTACTCCACTGAGATGTTTGGGTGGAGAGAAACATATCTGGCTTACGTGCACGTCCAATCATAGTACCTTCCCCTGAACTTAATTATGACATAGATTATTTTGCTCACATGTTTTTTGCTGACCTTCTCCTTATTATCACCTTGCTCTCCTACTACATTCCTTTTTGCTGAAATAATGAAAATAATAACCAATAAAAACTAAGGGAACTCAGAGGCCAGTGCTGGTGCAGGTCCTTGGCATGCTGAGCGCCGGTCCCCTGGGCCTACTGTTGCTTCTCTATACTTTGTCTCTGTGTCTTCCTTGTTTTCTCTGTCTCTGGTCCCACCTCACTAGAAATACCCGCAAGTGTGGAGGGGCAGGCCACCCCTTCACTCACCAGCAAAAAGATTATGACTTGATGAGGCTCAGATATTCATTAGTATTTTTCAGCAATGAGGTATTTTAAGTTAAGGTATGTACATAGATTTTTAGACATAATGTGATTACTAATTAATTGATAATTATTAAATACTCATTAGACTACAACATAGTTTAAGCATAACTTTTATAAGCACTGGGAAACAAAATGTGTATGCGACTAACTTGATTGTAACATTTTCCTTATTGTGGTTGTCTGGAACCAAACCCACACTATCTCTGAGTATGCTTGTAGGTTTTTGGTTGTTCTTTGTTTTGAGATGGGGTTTCGCTCTGTCACCCAGGCCAGAGTGCAGTGGCATGATCATAGTTCACTGCAGCCTCAAACTGCTGGGTCAAGTGATTGTTCTACCACAGCCTCCTGAGTAGCTGGGACTACAGGCATGCAGCACTATGCCTGGCTATTTTTTTTTTTTTTTTGAGACAGAGTCTCGCTCTTTCTCCCAGGCCAGAGTGCAGTGGCGCTATCTCGGCTCACTGGAAGCTCCGCCTCCCGGGTTCACGCCATCCTCATGCCTCAGCCTCCCGAGTAGCTGGGACTACAGGCGCCCACACCAGGCCCGGCTAATTTTTTGTATTTTTAGTAGAGACGGGGTTTCACCGTGTTAGCCAGGATGGTCTCGATCTGCTGACCTCGTGATCTGCCCGCCTCGGCCTCCCAAAGAGCTGGGATGACAAGCGTGAGACACCGCGCCCGGCCTGCCTTTTCTTTCTAGTGGCTCAAGCCCCATGGTGTGTGGTGGGCCTGATCTCCGATGCTTTTGAACAGTGTAGAAACTGTTGCTGTCTGTATTTAATTTTTTCCTACATGTATGGTCTCGATCGATCACAAGAAGATCAATAAGCCCTTCTCCTTATTCTACTTCCCTTTCTAGCAACGGAGAACTTTGATTGGATTTTTCCTGTCTACAGACAGGAATGAGTCTGCTGTTTTCTTTTTTAAACCCGAGGGGACTGAGCCTGAGGGCCTCGAGCGCGGCCATCCTCCTCCAACCCACAACTGGTGATTGTGGTGGTGGTGGTGGTGGTGGTGGTTTTGTGTTCCAGCTTCTGTTCTGTTGTTGTTGTTGTTGCTGCTGCTGCTGTTGCTGCTGCTGCTGCTGGTGCTGTCGTCATTGTTTTGGTATTTTACAGACTCGGGGTGTATGTGCTTGTTTGTTAGATCAGCGTACTACTGCTTCCGGATGTAGAAGTGGACCTCCAGTGTATCCGTTACCCACATGGCGAACGTTGTCTCTGACTGGCAATTTATTCATTCCTCGTCCCCCTCTTACCCTCCTCCTCCCTTTTGGAGTGTCTGTTATTTCCATCTTGATGACCGTACGTGTACCCATTATTTACCTCCCACTTGTAAGCAGAAGGCAGTTCACTGGGTACATACTTGCTTCCAGCTCTACCCATGTTGTGGGAAAAGACGTGAAATCACTCTTTTTTGTGCCTGCACCATTGGAGAATTTTAACTTTTTTCTCTTCTTTTCTTTTCTTTCTTTTCTTTTCTTTTCTTTCTTTTTTTTTTTTCTTTTCTTTCCTCCTCCTCCTCCTCCTTCTTTTTTTCATTTTTTTCAGCTGGGCTCTCTTACTTGTGTTGCTCAGTTGCTCGGGCTGGTCTCAAACTCCTGGACTTGACACTTCTCCCGTCACATCAACCGCCTGGTTGTTGAAATGAGCATCTCTTGTAAAATTGAAAAGATGAAAAAAATAGAGAGAAAGACAAGAAGCAGGGGGTGAACGTTTCTCTTGCCGCCTCCCAGGGTGTACCTTGGACCCAATAGGAGGGAGGGAGCTTGGCTGGGTGGGTTTTTGGTGCTAAATCCTCCCGAGGGCCTCCTTCCCTCTCCCCCTTGTCCCCTCTTCTCCCCCAGCCAAGGCTCCCACCGCCGCTGTGGGATTTTCCGTGGGAGAGATATGGGAGAGGACTGACGCGGCTTCCAGATCTATATCTTGCCAGACATCTCTGGCTCAGCGTCCCCCACCGGCTGCCTGCCACCTTCCAAGGAGCTCTGAGGCCGATGCCCCGCCCCCTTCACATCCCGCCACCCTCCTCCGGTTGGCCTACGCCCGGCGACCCCAAGGGAGCCGCGTTGACGCTTTCTTCTTCTTTTTCTTGTTTTATTTTATTATTATTATAGTTTAAGATTTAGGGTACATGTGCACAACGTGCAGGTTTGTTACATATGTATACATGTTCCATGTTGGTGTGCTGCACCCATTAACTCGTCATTTAGCATTAGGTATATCTCCTAATGCTATCCCTCCCCCAACCCCACAACAGTCCCTGGTGTGTGAAGTTCCCCTTCCTGTGTCCATGTGTTCTCATTGTTCAGTTTCCACCTATGAGTGAGAACATGCAGTGTTTGTTTTTTTTGTCCTTGAGATAGTTTGCTGAGAATGATTGTTTCCAGTTTCATCTATGTCCCTACAAAGTACATTAACTCATCATTTTTTATGGCTGCATAGTATTCCAAGGTGTCGAATCCTTCAGCGAAGTCTTCCACCAGATGCCCCGGGTGGGCCGGATGGATGGGATGAGACTGGACCACCCCAGACCGTGCTGTTCTTGGGGGTGGGTTGACGTACAGGGTGGACTGGCAGCCCCAGCATTGTAAAGGGTGCCCAGGTATGGAAATGTTACATAGGATGCCCTCCTTCCCGTCAGCCTGCCTTCAGCTTCCTCAGGCATGAAGACAACTTCCCATCAGAACCTTTTTTCTTCCCTTTCTCCACCACACAGATGAGACTCATGAGAGGGAGAAACAGCTCAATAGATACTGCTGACCTTCATTTGTGGAATCCTCAGTCATCTACAGACAGAGAGGTGACTAGACAGGGACCCAAATCAAACCCCATTTCCGGGTCCTCATGGTGGGATTGGTCTCTCTCTCTCTCTCTCACACACACACACACACACACACACACACACACACAATTTCCACATCTAGTTCACAAACCACACTAATTTACCCTTTTCACAGTATGCAGTCTGAGTAAAACCCACCACACCCTCCACCCGGCGACTGACGAAACCCCTTCTCTACAATTTATTAAAAAGATTATCTGGGCCGGGCACAGTAGCTCACGCGTGTCATTCCAACACTTTGGGAGGCCAAGGGGGGTGGATCGCTTGAGGCCAGGAGTTCAAGCCCAGGCTGGCCAACATGGCAAAACCCTATCTCTATGAAAAATAGAACAATTAGCCAGGCCTGTTGGCATAGGCTTGTAATCACAACTACTCAGGAAACTGAGGCGGGCGAATTGCTTGAAGCAGGGAGGCTGAGGTTGCAGTGAGCTGAGATCATGCCATGGCAATTATTGAGACAGAGCGAGACTCTCTCAATAATCATAATATTATTATAAGATTAGTTGTGCGTGCTGATACCCGACTGTAGTCGCAGCTACTCGTGAGGCTGAGATAAGGAGAAGATCACTTGAGGCCCCACAGGTTGAGGCTTCAGTCAGCTGTTACCCACTGTATCCTGGGCAGTCACCAGTCAAGGAGATATGCCCTTCCCCGTTTTCTTTCTTTTCTTTTCTTTTTTCTTTTCTTCTCTTCTCTTTTCTTCTTTTTTCTTCTCTCTTCTTCTCCCTTTCTTTCTTTCTGTCTCTTTCTTTCTTTTCTTTTCTTTCTTTCTTTCTTTCTTTCTTTCTTTCTTTCTTTCTTTCTTTCTTTCTTTCCTGCCTCACTGCCTTCCTGCCTTTCTTCTTTCCTCCCTTCCTCCCTTCCTTCTTTCCTCCCGCCTCGGCCTCCCAAAGTGCCGGGATTACTGGTGTGAGGCACCATGCCTGCTTGGCCTAAAGGGACACCCTTTGAAAGTAAGACACAGACAGCGCCTTCCAGTGATCTGATTGATTGATTGATTGACAGATTTCGAGACAGCGTCTCACTCTGTCACCCTGGCAGTGGTGCCATCATATCTCACTTACTGCAGCATGGACGCTTCTGGACTCAAGCGATCCTTCCACATCAGCCTCCAGAGTAGAGTACCTGGGACCACAGGCACACGCCATTGTGCCCAGATCATTTTTATTTATTTATTTATTTTTCCCGAGACAGAGTTTCGCTCTTGTTGCCCAGACTGGAGTGCAATGGTGCGATCTTGGCCCACCACAACCTCTGCCTCCCGGGTTCATGCGATTGATTCTCTTGCGTCAGCCTCCTGAGTAGCTGGGATTGCAGGCATGCGCCACCACGTCTGGCTGATTTTGTATTGTTAGTAGAGACGGGGCTTCTCCATGTTGGTCAGGCTGGTCTCGAACTCCCGACCTCAGGTGATCCTCCCTCCTCGGCCTCCCAAAGTGCTGGGATGACAGGCGTGAGCCACTGCCCCTGGCCTTCATTTTTAAATGTTTTTCCACAGACAGGGTCTCATCATTTTGTTGCAACCCTCCTGACCCGGCGTCTCAAAGTGCTGGCGTGAAGGGCTTGAGCCACTGCGCCTTGACTCCGGGAAATGATTCACGACCACGACGGCTGTACTCTTTCTTTCTTTCTTTCTTTCTTTCTTTCTTTCTTTCTTTCTTTCTTTCTTTCTTTCTTTCTTTTATTCTTTCTTTCTTTATTTTCTTCTTTCTTATTTATTGATGAATTTTTTATATTGATTGATTGATTTTGAGAGGGAGTCTTGCTCTGTTCGAGGCGAGGCGAGGCGAGGCGCATCGCTTTGGAGGCCGCAGCACTGCCTTCTAAAGCCCCATTCAAATGCACAAAGTCCTATTCCCTTCCTGGAGTTGGAGCTGATGCCTTCCATTGCCTTGGGCTTCTCTCCATTCAGAAGATTTTACAGGTGCAACCCCACCCAGAGGCTGGCTGCGGCTGAGGATTAGGGGATGTGGTGGGGCTGGAAACTCGTCCTCTATTGTTGCAAGCTCAGCCAAGACATCCCCCGACCCCCATCGCTTGCTCACCCTTTGAGATCCCCTGCCTCCACCGCCTTGGAGGCTGACCTCTTACTTTAATTTCTGTCTTTCTTCCTTTCCTGCGTTTGAGGAGGGGGTGCAGGAATGAGGGTGTGTGTGGGGAGGGGGTGCGTGGTGGGGACGGAGGGGAGCGTCCTAAGGGTCGATTTAGTGTCATGCCTCTTTCACCGCCACCACCGAAGATGAAAGCAACAATCAGCTAAATACCGCGTGTTCTCATCCATAAGTGGGAACTTATAGATGAGAGTTCTGCGTGGGCAGAACGAGGGGGACGAGAGACGCGGGAGTCTACTTGAGGAAGGAGGGGTGGAAGGAGAGACAGCTTCAGGAGAAACCAAAACAAAACAAAACATGAAAACTGTCGAGTACTGCGCTGAGTGTCCGGGTGATGAAATCATCTGCACACTGAAACCCCCGGCAGAAGTTTACCTATGTAACGATCTTGCACATGTATGTTTGAACAAGAAGTGAAAGTTAGGGGAGAAGGAGAGAGAAAGGGAGAGAGAGAGGGAAAGAGAGAAAGAGAGAGAGAGAAGTGAAACGAAACACCACCTCCTTGACCTGAGTCAGGGTATTTCTGGCCTTTTGGGGGAACATTCAGCGACAATGCAGTACTTGGGCCCGTTCTTTTCTTTTTCTTCTTTTCTTTTTTTTGGACAGAGTATCTCTCGCTCTTTCACCCAGGCTGCGGTGCAGTGGCGCTCTCTAGGCTCACTGAAACCTCTGCTTCTCGGGTTCCAGTGATTCCTCTTCGGTAGCTGGGATTACAGGCGCGCACGACGATAGCCGGCTAATTTTTCTATTTTTAGTAGAGACAGGGTTTCTCCATGTTGGCCACGTTGGTATTGAACTCCTGACCTCAAGTGATCCACCCTCCTGGGCCTCCCAAAGTGCTGGGACGACAGGCCTGAGCCGCCGGGATTTCAGCCTTTAAAAGCGCGGGCCCTGACACTTTTCGCTGCGGCCCTTATGCTCAGAATGACGTGTCCTGTCTGCCATAGGTTGACTCTTTGAGTCCCCTATGCCATTGCACTTTAGCCTGGGCAGCAAGAGCGAAACTCCGTCCCCCCACCTTCCCGTGCAAATAAATAGATAAATAAATAAATGAATAAATAAATAAATAAATAAATAAATAAATAAAATCTCTACACATGACCTATAAGTGTGTGTTCCCATGAGTTATTTCTAAGAAATGGCACTGTACATTGAACGCAGTGGCTCATGTCTGTCATCCCAGCACTTTGGGAGGCCGCGGTGGGTGGGTCACGAGGTCAGGAGTTCAAGACCAGCGTAGCCGACATGGTGAAACCGACTCAGTTTCGTATTTTCAATCTCTACTGAAAATACGAAACTGAGTCGGGCGCGGTGGCGCAGGCACCTGTAATCCCAGCTACTCGGGAGGTTGAGGCGGAAGAATCGCTTGAACCTGGCAGGCAGAGGTTTCAGTGACCCGGGATGGTGCCACTGCACTAAGCTTGGTCGACAGAGTGAGACTTGGTCTCCAAATAAATAAATGAAAGAAAGAAAGAAAGAAAGAAAGAAAGAAAGAAAGAAAGAAAGAAAGAGAAAAGAAAAGAAGAAAGGAGAAAAGAAAAGAAAAAAAAGAAAAAGAAAAGAAAGAAAAAAGAAAAGAAAAGAAAAGAAAAAAAGAAAAGAAAACCAGAAAAGAAAGATAAAATGAAAGAAAAGGCACTGTATCGCTACTGGGCTAGGACCTTCTCTCTTTCTGTCTGTTTCTCTCTGTCTCTCTCTGTCTGTGTCTGTTTCTCTCTGTCTCTCTCTGTTTTCCTCTGTCTCGCTGTCTCTATTTCTTTTTCTGAGTCTCTCTGTCTGTCTCTCTCGCTCTCTCTCTCTCTGTCTCTCTCTCTGTGCCTATCTTCTGTCTTACTCTCTTTTTCTACCCGTCTGTCTCTCTCTCTGTCCCTCTCCCTCCCTTTCTGTCTCTCTCTCTCTCACTCTCTCTCTGTCTGTCTCTCTTTCTGTCTGTTTCTCTCTGTCTCTCTCTCTCCATGTCTGTCTGTCTCTCTCTTTCTTTCTCTCTGCCTCTGTCTGTCTCTCTCTGCCTGTCTCTCTCACTGTGTCTGTCTTCTGTCTTACTGTCTTTCTCTGCCTGTCTCTCTCTCTCTCTCCCTCCCTGCCTTTCTGTTTCTCTCTCTCTCTTTCTGTCTGTTTCTCTCTGTCTCTGTCTGTCTCTTCTTCTGTCTGTCTTTCTCTCTCTTTCTTTCTTTTTTTTTTTCAGATGGAGTCTCACTGTGTCGCCCAGGCTGGAGTGCAGTGGCGCCATCTTGGCTCACTGCAAGCTCCACCTCCCAGGTTCACGCCATTCTCCTGCCTCAGCCTCCCGAGTAGCTGGGACTATAGGCGCCCGCCACCACGCCTGGCTAATTTTTCGTATTTTTAGTAGAGACGGGATTTCACTGTGTTAGCCAGGATGGTCTCGATCTTCTGACCTCATGATCCGCCCGCCTCAGCCTCCCAAAGTGCTGGGATGACAGGAGTGAGCCACCACGCCCAGACTGTCTCTCTCTTTCTTTCTCTCTCTCTCTTTCTCTCTCTCTCTCTGTGCCTATCTTCTGTCTTACTCTCTTTCTCTGCCTGTCTGTCTCTCTGTCTCTCTGTCTGTCTCTCTCCCTCCCTGTCTGTTTCTTTCACTCTGTCTCTCTTGCTCTCGCGCTCTCTCTCTCTGTCTCTCTCTCACGCTATTTCTCTCTGTCAGTCTCTGTCTGTCTTTTTCTCTGTCTCTCTGTTTCTTTCTCTCTATCTGTCTCTCTCTCCCTCTGCCTGTCTCTCTCACTGTGTCTGTCTTCAGTCTTAATCTCTTTCTCTGCCTGTCTGTCTCTCTCTCCATCTCTTTCTGTTTCTCTCTCTCTCTCTCACTCTCTCCGTCTCTCTCTCTTTCTGTTTCTGTCTCTCTGTCTGTCTCTGTGTGTCTGTCTGTTTCTCTCTGTTTGTCTCTCTCTCTCTTTCTGTTTGTTTCTCTCTGTCTGTCTCTGTCTATCTCTCTCTCTCTCTGTCTCTCTCCCTCCCTGTCTGTCTTTTTCTCTCTCTCTCTGTCTCTGTCTCTCTTTCTTTCTGTCTGTTTCTCTCTGTCTCTCTCTGTCCATCTCCGTCTTTCTATGTCTGTCTCTTTCTCTGTCAGTCTGTCAGACCCCCCGTGCCGCGGAGGGCCCTGCCCCTTCCACGAAAGTGAGAAGCGCCTGCTTAGAGAGGCCCAGAGGAATCTAGACAGACGAGACTTAACAGGCTTCGCCACTCGGTGTATGATTTCGGGAGGTCGAGGCCGGGTCCCCACTTGGATGGAAGGGACATTTTCACACTTTTCTCTCTGTCATGTGTGGCGTCCCTACTTCTCATATTTCCCTGATTAGCTCCTCGACTTAAAAATACACGGTTAAGGCCGAGCGCAGTGACTCACGTCTGTCATCCCAGCACTTTGGGAGGCCGAGGCGGGTGGATCACCTGAGGTTGGGAGTTCGAGACCAGCGTTGCCAACACGGCGAAACCTCATCTCTACTAAAAATACTAAATTGAGTCGAGCGTGGGGGGGCAGGCGCCTGTAATGCCAGCTACTCGGGAGGCTGAGGCGGGAGCATCGCTTGAACCTGGGAGGCGGAGGCTGCAGTGAGCCGAGATCGCGCCACTGCACTACAGCCCGGGCTGTAGAGTGAGTGAGACTCTGTCTCTAAATAAATAAATAAATAAATAAATAAATAAATAAATAAATACATTATTTTTCGTGCTGACTGACACTTGCAGGCATCGGTTGTCTTCGGGCATCGTAGCGGCCACTGTTATTGAAAGTCGAGGTGACACGGAGGGAGGTCTCGCCGACCTCACAGAGCCTGGGGCAACCGATTTCTCTCTCTCCCTTCTGGAGGTCCCTCCCTCTCTCCCTCGTTGCCTAGGGAACCTCCGCTGGCGGGGGCCCTATTGTTCTTTGATCAGCGCTTTAGTTTTCTTTGTGCGTTGTTTTCTTTCATGAGCATAGACTCTTCTACTTGGGTTTTAGGAAGGGTCAGTTTAATTTTCAAGTCGCCCCCCAGCTCCCCTCACTACCCACGTCCCTTTACCTTCGTTTAGTGAGTCAGTTAGGTGGGTTCCCTCCAAACCCCCCACCCTCCGCCTCCCAACACCCTGCTTGGAAACCTTCCGGAGCCACCCAGGTGTGCCTCCGTCTTCTCTCCCCTTCCCCCACCCCTTGCCGGCGATCTTATTCTTACCAGGCTGACATTTGCAACGGTGGGCGTCAGGCCTCACTCAGTGGCCACGGTTTTTTAAGATGGGGTGGCACGGTCCCACTTCCCCAGAGGCAGCTTGGGCCGATGGCATAGCCCTTGACCCGCGTGGGCAAGCGGGCGGGTCTGCAGTTGTGGTTTTTTTCCCCCGCTTCCCTCCTCAGGCCTCCCTCCCTAGGAAAGCTTCACCCTGGCTGGGTCTCAATCACCTTTTATCATGATGTTTTCGTTTCTCCGCCCTCCGGCCAGCATAGTTTCACAATGGGAATGAAGTCACAGCTCTAGTCTGGGCCTTCTTAGCATTTTCCCAAAATAGAAACGCTTTCTGAAAACTAATACTTTGCTCACTTAAGATTTCCAGGGACAGTGCCTTGGCCCGTGTTTGTTGGCTTGTTTTGTTTCGTTCGTGTTTTTCCTTTTTCTTATATATTTCTTTTTAGATGAAGTAGAAATCCCCAGTTTTCAGGAAGAAGTATATTTTCCCCAAGACATATTAGCTGCAGTTTTCTCCTGTAGTTAACTAACGATTTTGTGAATCTCTGAACGTATAGTGAGAGCCGGTTGATGTTTACTAGACTTCAGAACATCTCATGTTCTAGAAATCCGTAAGCAAATGCTGCTGCTGCTCTTGCTGCTGCTGCTGCTTTTGTTGCTGTTGTTGTTGTTTTCAAAGCACACCCCGGCCACCGTTTATGGGATCAAAAGCGTTATAAAATATGTGTAATTATTTCCTGAGCGTGCCCTTCCTCCTCCTCTCTCTGTCTCTCTGTCTCTCTTTCTCTGTCTTCTCTCTCTCTCTGTCTCTCTCTCTGCCTGTCTATTTCTCTCTCTGTCTCTCTCACTGTGTCTGTCTTCTGTCTTACTCCCTTTCTCTGCCTGTCTGTCTCTCTCTCTCTGCCTGTCTGTCTCTCTCTCTCTCTCTCTCCCTGTCTGTCTGTCTCTTTCTCTCTGTCACTGTCTCTGTCTCTCTCTGTCTGTCTCTGTCTTTCTCTGTCTGTCTCTCTGTTTCTCTCTTTCTCTCTGTCTCTGTGTGTCTCTCTCTCTGCCTGTCTCTCTCACTGTGTCTGTCTTCTGTCTTACTCTCTTTCTCCGCCAGCCTGTCTCTCTCTCTTTGTTTCTCTCTGTCTCTCTCTGTCCATCTGTCTTTCTCTGTCTGTCTCTTTGTCTGTCTGTCTGTCTGTATCTCTCTTTCTCTGTCTCGCTGTCTCTGTCTCTCTCTCTGCCTGTCTGTCTGTCTGTAGGTCTCTCTCTCTCTCCCTGTCTGTTTTTTCTCTCTCTCTCTTTGCCTGTCTGTTTCTCTGTCTCTGTCTCTCTGTCTGTCTCTCTCTGCCTGTCTCTCTCTGTGTCTTCTGTCTTACTGTCTTTCTCTGCCTGTCTGTCTGTCTCTCTCTCTCCTTGTCTGTTTCTCTCTCTCTCTGTCTCTGTTTCTCTCTCTCCCTCTGTCTGTCTCTTTCTCTGTCTCTTTCTCTCTGTCTGTCTCTCTCTTTCTCTCTGTCTGTCCATTGTCTCTGTCTCTGTGTGTGTGTGTGTGTCTGCCTTCTGTCTTACTCTCTTTCTCTGACTGTCTGCCTGTCTGTCTGTCTCTCTCTGTCTCTCTCTTTCTGTCTCTGTCTCTCTTTCTGTTTCTCTCTGTCTCTGTCCATCTCTGTCTTTCTCTGTCTGTGTCTTTATCTGTCTGTCTCTCTCTCTCTTTCTGTCTTTCTCTCTTTGTGTATCTTTGTATCTCTCTGTCTGTCTCTCTCTGTCTCTGTCTTTGTCTCTCTCTCTCTCTGTGTCTCTCGCCCGCTCTCTGGCTCTCGCTATCTCCCACCCTCTCTTTCTTTGCAAAATAAGTTCAAGTACTTCTAATCTAATCCATTACCACAGCCTGAATTCTTAACTTTAGACATCCCAGATTTGATCTCCCTACAGAATGCTGTACAGAGCTGGCGAGTTTATTTCTGGACTTGGATACCTCATAGATATTACATATTAATAAAGATCCAACCCTAAAATCTGGGGTTGTGTTTCCCTCGACTGTCTCAAAAAATCATACCTCTGTTCACCTAGGATGCTGGGAAGGTTTTCTCAATGTGCATCTGCTCGTGTCCTACATGAACTGTGACCGAGCCCTGTCCGTTCTGTCTCAAATATGTATCTGCAAACACGTCTCTCCATTTCCACAACTACCCATGGCCCATTGTGGAACCATTGGCTCTTTGAAAAAAAATCCCAGAAGTGGCTTTGACTTTTTGGCTAGGAGGTCTAAACCTGCTGAGAACTTTCCTGCCCAGGATTCTGTGTGAACAAAAGTGCCTCTGCTGGGAGCTGGGATCTTCGGGACCATGCTTGCTACCGCTGGATGAGTCTCTGGAAGGACGCACGGGACTCCACAAAGCTGACCTGTCCCACCGAGGTCAAATGGATACCTCTGCATTGGCCTGAGTCTTCCAGCTTACATCACCATCACCAAAGCTCGCCATCAGCATCCTTGTGAGCCTGCCCAAGGCCTCGACTCTGGGGAGACTCTTGGGAGCCCGGTCTTCATCGGCTAAAGTACAAAGGGATGGCGACTTCCACCCACAAGGTCCCCACTGAACTGCGAAGATGTGGAACGTAGGTCAGAGAGGGGACCTGGAGGGGAGACATCCTGACAGGCAATGAGTTAACTAGGCTCTGGCCACCCCACTCACGTCCCACGTCCCGGGCAACCGCGGGACACTGCCGCTTTATCCCCTTCTCTGTCCACAGCCGCCCCCACCCCACCCCGCAACCCACGCACACACGCTGGAGGTTACAAAACCACACGGCGTGAATACAGCCTGACGGAGCGAGAGCTCATTTCACGAGGCGGGGGTGGTGGGGTGGGGTGGGGGTTGGGGTGTCTGTAGAGAGCCCGATTCTACGATTCTACCTCGTGGGTGGCTACAGGATACAAATGAATATTGCTTCTTGGGCGGAGGGGCTTCCTTAGGCTGTCATGTTTGCGAGACTATCTCTCAAAACCTCCCTTGAGGCCACAAAACAGATTCCACCCCACCCCTCCACGTTTCCCCGGGGTGCTGGATGTATCCTGTCAAGAGACCTGAGCCTGACACGTTGAGTGAAACACATTTATTGGCTTCGTGTGTTTGTTTGTTTCTGAGATGGAGTCTTGCTCTGTCCCCCGCCCCGGCTGGAGTGCAGTGGCGTGATCTCAGCTCACTGCAACCTCTGCCTCCTGAGTTCGAGCGATTCTCCTGCCTCAGCGCCACCAAGCCTGGCTCATTTTTTTATTTTTAGTAGACACGGGGTTTGACCCTGTTTCATTGGTTTTCACTGGAGATTCTAGATTCAAGTCACACCTCATTGTGTGCCACATAATGACTTCTGTTATTTATTTATTTTTTTTTTAAAGCACAATATATCTGCTTTATTTGAGTGGCTTTATATATCGTTATAATTGTGTTATAGATGAAGAAAAGATATTAAACACAGTGCTAATGATAGTGAAAGTGAAAAACAAAAGAAAGGCTATCTATTTTGTAGTTAGAATAAATTTGCTCAGTATTTAGAGTTACCTAAATACGTCAGCATTTAAACTCCTCCTAGTAAAAGCTGGCCAATCTGAATAATCCTCCTTTAAACACAATTTTTGATATGGTTAAAGTTTTTAAGAATGTGACTCCTGCAGAATAGCTGAACAGACAATACACATTTAAAAAAGAACAACACAAGGGTCAATCAGACTTGGGAAAAAATCAAAAACAACACAAGTCTTATGAAGAACTGAGTTCTTAAAATATTACGGAGAACATAGCTATCGGAAGAGAAGGCAGTATTGGTAAGTTGATTGTTACATTTGTCAGCAAAAGCTAGCACTATTTTTTTGGCAATCTTTCAGGCACTGCAACTACTACTGCAAAATGAGATATAATCATTTAAACAACATATTCACAAATCAAAAAATGTTTTCGTAATGTAATGCTTCAGATTTAGAAGCAAATCAAGTGTTAAAACTCAACTGCTATAATAATTAACCCCAAAGATAACCGTATCTGACAAAAAAGCTTCCACAGAGTTATGACGTCAGAATTATACTTTCTCTTGATATTTATTTATGTATTTATTTATTTATTTATTTATTTATTTAATTTTATTTTTTTCTTGAGATGGCTTCTTGCTCTGTCACCCAGGCTGGTGTGCAATGGCATAATCTTGGCTCACTGCAACCTCCACTTCCCGGGTTCAAGCGATTTTCTTGCCTCAGCCTCCTGAGTATCTGGGACTACTGGCGCCCGCCACCATTCCCAGCTAATTTTGATACTTTTAATAGAGACGGGGTTTCACCATGTTGGCCAGCAAGGTATCGATCTCTTGACCTTGTGATCCGCCCACCTCGGCCTCCCAAAGTGCTGGGATGACAGGCATGAGCCACCGTGCCTGGCCTTTTCTTGATATTTAAACTTTTAAGTCAGTCCAGAAAAATACAATAAATGTCAACAGTAAGTATGGTGTTGAGGTAGAAGTAGGATCAAACTTTTTCATATGTTATTCGGTTGATAACAATATGACCTGGGTCATAATTTCCTATGTGTCTACTTATATACAAGTACAAAAAAGTAAAACAGAGATACTGCTAAATAAAAGGGTACACTAAGTTCTTAATAGTAACTCAATAAACTAGAACACTGTCAAAAAGCAGCAACTAGTGAATTTTTTCAGTGTTTTTTTCTGTTATCCAATAAGTGAATTATGCTATTCCTTTCCAATTTCCCAAGCACTTTTTGTCTCAATCACCATTTCTGTGTTCGAAGAAAAAGTAACAAATCAAGTAACAAAACTAAACAAGCAAACAAACAAACAAAACACAACTAGAGCATCTGCAAAAGTTTGGTAGAAGACTGAAACTCTTGAGTATGAGGATCTGGTATTCTATTATCATTAGTTAACTTAAGAGTTTGTTAAAGACATACATTTCATAAGAAAGCGTGTTAGTTTGAAGTTATTGACCAGTATGTACCATCCCTAAGTATTAGTAGCCAAATTCATGACAATAAAGAGCTATCTAACAAGAAAAATTAGTGACTACCAGCACCATCAACAAGACTTTGTCTTTACACTTCATTACCACTTACCGTGCATTATAATATCTAGGATTGACTCTGATAACATTTCAAAAACTAGCTAATGCTTTGTCCAATTCTTCAGTTAAGACAAACTCATGCCCTAATAGAGTATAGACATAAGCATAATTTGGATCCACTTGGATAGCTCTCTGAAAGAATTTAATTGCAATATCGTGTTCCCGTTGCAGAGTGAAACAGTCCCCTGCAGCACACCAGACCTCTGGCGAAATTTTATCCATGTCTGTTAAGTCTTTTGACAGAAATGAAAGAGCAACATCTTTTTGAAGATGCCAAAGTGTTGTAGAGTAGATTTCCATGCCTTCCACTCTATGATTCTCAATCCTTCTAACCTCTGAGAATAGTCTTTCAGCTTGCATGTACTCTGAAAGTTCAAAATAGGCCCTTCCAATTTGGCACAGTACCCAACCAGTATTGTAGTGGTGAGAAGGTAAATGGCTCAAAATATTTATAGCTTCTTTGCAGTGGTATGAACACAAAGCTAAATAACCTTTCCCCCTTTCACGAAGAAGGCTCATCAAGCCTTCTGCTGCTGCTTTTTGTAGATTAAAAGCCTGAATCTGAGGTGTGATTGTGGATATTTTCCCTTCTGAAATGATGGAAGAGTACAATTTTGTTATTTCCAGGCTGTCATTTATATTAGGTTTAGTTATTCCTCCTTTATTAGTTTTACTTTTTGTTTTTCTGTTTGGGATTTTAGGTGGAAACTGTATTTTTAATTTCTTCCTATTCTCCTTGGTTGTGGAACTGTCACTAGTCAAGAGTCGTGAACTTCTTCGATGCAGTGCATTTGAGGGAGATGTCATAGTGGGGCTCAATACCTGAGGTGTTGTACTTATTTATGGACCAGAACTTTCTGTTTGTGCAAGAATTGGAGTTACCTCTTGGCTATTTCCACTCTGTGAGAAGACAGACTTTGCTCCAATTTGGACTATTCTGGCAACAGACTTTTTTGGAGGGACTCCAGTGGATGTCACATCCATTACAGAAGCTGTATTAGTGTAGTTTTGTAAATAGGATCCAACTCCAGGACTTGGGGTTTCTAATGGCAAAATCCCAAAACTTGGGGTTAATGGACTAAGAGATGCTGGTCCTCCTAATAAACTTCGATCAGTTTTTGGTTTATTTTGAACCTGTTTAGATAATATGGAAGTTCCTGTTCCCAGTGGGACAGTATCAGATGAAATTACAGCTGAATCAATAGAAGACACTGGGGAATCTGTATTCAAGGAGTACTTTGAATTGGCAGATTCTAAATTCAATCTGTTTAATTCAGTTGTGTTCTGGGGTGTTTCTGTAAGAATGGTCTCAGGCTGTCTGTGACATAAACTATGATTAGGTACTTGTGCTTTGCAAGAGTTGGGCAGACAGTTTCTAAAGTTCTGTGAAGATGCGAATTTAAATGTTTGGTCAGGATCTGGCTTTTCACCTATTTCACATAATGATTCAAAGGGATACCAGAGGAAAGGATTTAAACTAAGGCTCTTTTGGTAGCATTCTGATCCTTTGGCAAGCCGATCTGTCTTGCAATATACATGTCCCAACAATGGAAGGGGAAAGCAAGCTGAATCACCAAACTCAGTAACAATATCATCATGGCTTTTCTGCTTATGAAACACTCCACCAGATAAGATTTGTTCCCCTTCTGCAAGCTTGCTGACATCAAAACAACATTTTGCAAGCAGGTATTTGCATTGTGGTGTAGGACAACTGTGTCCTTTCAAGAGTCTATATGCTTTATAGGTCTTTCCTGGGCGGTAAGAACAGGTCGCCAGTAAAAACAAGGCTTCTTCTGAGTGTACTTCTGCATAAAGGCGTTCTGCGAGGAAAACCCCATCTCGGTAAGCATAGTGGTTTAGTGCTTGCCATGTAGCAGCCTGGACGGGTTCCTGTAGCACCATCATCCTCGAGGCTCAGGCCCACTTTCTGCAGTGCCGCGGGCAGCCCCCCACCCCGCCCACACCCCTCCCCCCGGTAGCGGCTCCGGCAAAGCCAGCCTCAGCTCATTTAAACTCACCAGTTACCAGGGGATGGGGGAGGCCGAGCCAGAATGACTTCTTTACCCTGCCAACTGTGGAAAGCCCGGCCCCCTGTGATCCATCGCAAAGCGAGAGTCACCTCATGTTTGGAAAACGGATCCGCTCCCAAGTTCAGTGGAGGGATGTGGCATATAGGATGAAGGACTCTCTTCTTCTGATTGGGTCTGCACAGTGGGGCCTAGGGCTGGAGCTCTCTCTGTGCGGACCGCTGACTCCCTCTACCTTGGGTTCCTTCGGCCCCACCCTGGGACACGGGCCTTGGCAGATTCTGACCCTTCCTGGCACTTAAGTCGCTGTCAGAAACCCCATCTCGTCCTCGGATGCCCCGAATGACTGTGGCTCGGACCTCTCTGGAAACATTGGAAATCTCTCCTCTACGCGCGGCCAACTGAAACCACAGGAGCTCGGGACACAAGCCGCCATCCACCTCACTGCTTTCGGGAGAGAATGCTGAGTCTCTTACCGACTCTCTCTTGACTTGAGTTCTTCATGGGTGTGTCGTTAAGACGTAGTGAGACCAGATATATTAACTCAGGCCTGGTGCTGGTGGCTCACGCCTGTAACCCCAACACTTTGGGAGGCTGAGGCTGTAGGATCCCTTGAGGAATCGCCGAACCCTGTGGAGGTTGAGGCTGCAGTGAGTGAGCCATAATGGTGTCACTGCACTCCAGTCTGGGGGAAAGACAGAGTGAGGCCCTGTCACAGGCAGGCAGGCAGACAGACAACAGCTGTATTATGTTCTTCTCAGGGTAGGAAGCAAAAATAACAGAATACTGCGCTTAATTTTTTTTTTTTTTGGTGGGGGACGGAATTTCACTCTTGTTGCCCAAGCTGGAGTGCAATGGCACCATCTCGGCTCACTGCAACCTCCACCTCCCGTGCTGAAGAGATTCTCCTGCCTCAGCCTCCTAAGTAGCTGGGATTACAGGCATGGGCCACCACACCCGGCTGATTTTGTATTGTTAGTAGAGACGGCATTTCTCCATGTGGGTCAGGAGGGTCTCGAACTGGCCACCTCAGGTGATCTGCCCACCTCGGCCTCCCAAAGTGCTGGGATGACAGGCGTGAGCCATTGCGCCCGGCCAGTTACGTTTTTTTTTTTTTTTAAATTTTCAATTTTGATCTCTTTATTATTATTATTATTTTTTTGAGACAGAGTCTCGCTCTGTTGCCCAGACTGGAGTGCTGTGGCGTGATGTCGGCTCACTGCAAGCTCTGCCTCCCGGGTTCACGCCATTCTCCTGTCTCAGCCTCCCAAGTAGCTGGGACTACAGGCGCCCGCCACCGCGCCTGGCTAATCTTTTGTATTTTGAGTAGAGACGGGGTTTCACTGTGGTAGCCAGGATGGTCTCGATCTCCTGACCCCCGTGATCCGCCCACCTCGGATCCCGCCCAAAGTGCTGGGATGACAGGCGTGAGCCACCACGCCCGGCCTATTTATCTATTTATTAACTTTGAGTCCAGGTTGTGAAACCAGTTAGTTTTTGTATTTTTTTAGAGACGAGGTTTCACCATGTTGCCAAGGCTTGGATCCAGGGATCCACCTTCCCTCGCTTCCCAAAGTGCGGGGATGACAGGCGTGAGCCTACCGCACCCGGCTCCACCCGTTCCCCCAACAGCTTATCACTCAGGTGCCCGAAGTCCAGCTGTGGTGTGTGGTTCCCACCCCCAGCGCCCCCTCCTCTGGTCGCCGCCGTGTTGTCTGGGAGTGGGTCCTGAGGGAGCTCGTTGGTGTGGCGGTCGAGGCGGTTGAGTGAGAAGTGCCCCTGCCACGCGGGGAAGGGCGCCGCCTGGTCTGGCGAGCGCAGGTCCCGTGATCCCCTCTGGCTGGTGCGCGCGGGCCGTGTGAGCGATCGCGGTGGGCTTGGGCAGGTGAGGCGTGCGCCGGCCGGCCGCTGATGGGCTACCGTTCTGCCTCCGACAGGTTGTGTGTGTGTGTGGATTTACTTGGAGGTGCTTTGCCTAGGAGAAAGGAGGCTGGTCCCTGGGGGTGCCTCCGGGTTCCTCGGGGTGCACGGCTGGGGGTTCCCTGGCGTGGCCTGCTGGGGCCCTCCGTCCCCCCAAGTGCAGACCGGCGATGTCTGCCCTCCTCTGCTGCCATGCCCGCCCCTTCTCCCTCCCCCCGCAGGCCCTGTGTGGTCACGCATTGGGTGGCATGGGGAAGGGGGGCTCCCTGCTGTGAGGAAGAGAGAGAGGGCAGTGCTGCCACCCGCGAAAACAGAGAGTGAAGAGAGCCGGCTGGGGCCGAGTTCCCGTGGCCACCACCGCGGTCCGGGTTCCTCCCTCGGGGCCTCCCTCGTGCCTTACGCAGCTCGTGGTGCAGGGTTCGTTGGCCCTGGAGGGGTGGAAGGTCCCGTGCCGTCGTCGTCGCGCGTCGTGGGTAGTGAGGGCTTGTTGGGGGCGGGGGGAGGAAGGCAAGTAGGAAGGGTCCGGAGAGGGTGGGGGAGGGCGTCCCGGTCGCCCCGGTTCGTCGCCGCCCCTGGTGGCGGCCCGGCGACCGGCCCACAGCCGCTCCAGCGCCCCTCCTCCCCAACACCCCTCTGAGGCACAGTCCTCCTCGCCCGCCCGACCCTGTCTACCCGGCGCGCGTCGCGGTTGTGTCCGGGGCCGGAAGCCCGCCACGCGGCCCGTCTGACAGCGCTCGTGGCCGCGGTCCTGGGGTTCGCGTGCCCCTGGCGGTGACTCGCTGAATGCTGCGGTGTCGTCCGCCATTGCGCGCCCGCCTCCGGCTCTCGGCCGCGCGGTGCCTGGGGCCCGGTCTGTAGCTTCCACGTCAGGGCAGGGAGGCGCCGCCACGTCCTCGGACCCGTCCCCCACCTCCGTTTAGTACGTAGGAAATCCCATGTAACTTAGCAAAGCTAGCAAGTCCCTAAACTCGGCGCAGCGACTGTAGGGGTGGCCTCCCAGTAGCATCATTAACATCAATTGTAATTGGTAGGCAATCGCTTAGTTTCACATTTCATTACCCGAGTTATACAAATGTGTAAAAAAAAAAAATACAATTTTAATAAAAGGGAGTAAAGGATAATATGAGTAATATTCACAATCTCTAGTTGGAAGAGGTAGTGTTTTCTCAGAAATGATGCATTCCTGGAGCAAGGTCATTTTGTGTTTGGTTTGTTAAATATCTATTTCCATTTTGACAAACCACTGGAAAAGCCCAGCTTCACAAGGGCTCTCCATGAGAACGATCACACAAAAGAATACCCATAACACAAAATCAAAACAAGGGTGGTCCAGGCGTCACATTAAAGGCTTATTACCAAGTTTTCTTAGAAGAGATAAAGAACACAAAGTTACTTTTATGTGATGGAAAACAGAGAGAAAGAGTAAATGCAACAATAAATGTTAGGCAACAACAGTGAAAACCAAGCTGTGGAAAAAAATGAATGGAAATGTTTTGTTTGGTATTGATTTCCTATCCTGATATCAGAAAGTATGGGAAAGAACAAAGGACATTTTTTTGAGACAAATAGAACATAAAACAAATGAATGTTAAAGACTATTTTACAGTGCTAACAAAACTATCTGTGACTTGTTTTTTCCCTTAAAAAATACGATTTTGTACAATTACATTTATATAAATTATTGAAATAAAATTGTAAAGATTGAGAACAGGCTATGGGGTTGCCAAGGGGAAGGGGTGGAGGAAAACGTGTCAGAGTGTCAGCAAAGATCGCAAGTTGGAGCCTGGTGGTGAGGCAACAGTTCTGCATCTTGACTTTGGAAGTGGTAGTTGCAGAGATCTACACCACACAAAAATGAACAGAACACACGCACACACATACACACGTACAAAAATGAATGCATGCAAAACGGTTGCGATCTGAGTAAGCTTTCTGAATTGTACCTATGTCAGTTTCCAGGTTTTGATAATGCTCTATGGCTATGTGAGATGTCACCACTGGAATTAGTGAATAGTACCTAAGACATCCCTGTACCTTTTGCAACTTCCTGTGAATCTATAATTATTTCAAAAGAAAGTTGAAAGTCATAGCAGACTTTCACTTCAAAGAGGAAAAATACTGAAGATTAATGAAATTGTTGAAGAACATCAAATACTCAATAGTCTGTATGAGAGCTGTATTCTGTCCACTCCCAGCACAGCTGTCATTTAGCCTTTTCCTGATGTGCCCTGGAGGACTTGAGCTCCTCTTGGATTGCCAAGGCCAATAGTGTTTACTTGTTACTAAATTTGTACTAAACCCCCCAAAAATGAAAAGTGATTGAATAATCATTTATAATAACAACTAGTAATTTTACTTATAAAGAGACAATAGTGGTAATGAATTTAAATATTTAGGGTAAAGAATAGGATCTTCGTCAGACAATACTGGCATAATTTAGAAATAAAAAATAAGGAATCAGAAACATAAGTAGTTCAGTATTGTGAAAAAATTCTGGATCTGAGAAGCAAAAGAACAGAAATTGTATTGCATTTCTGCTCCAAACCTGATGAATCACCTTAGATGTGTTGTGTTTCTGTGCCAAAGCTGTTGAATCACCTTAGGCAATGCATGCCCTTTCCCTGAATCTGTTTTCTTTTCTACAAAATGAAGTGAGCTAGATCATCTCCAAGGTCCCCCAAATATTCACATTTTCGGCTCCATATGAACTTCAGTTGAATTCCTAATTTCAGTGTGGATAATACATGTGTGCTGCACCACAAGCAGTGTGTCTAAATGCTCATGTTGGTCCTAAAAACTAATTATGAGCAGTTTGGAAATTCTGTTGTTGTACAATCTGCAAAGGGATATTTGTGAGTGCTTTGAGGCCATGGTGAAAAAGGAAATACCTTCACATAAAAACTATAAAGAAGGTTTCTGAGAAACTGCTTTGTGATGTGTGCATTCATCTCACTGAGTTGAACATTTCATTCCTTTGATGAGTCTGGAAACTCTGTTCTTGTACAATCTGCAAAGTGGTATTTGTGAGTGCTTTCAGGCCTATGGTGAAAAAGGAAATATCTTCACATAAAAACTAGACAGACGCTTTCTGAGAAACTACTTTGTGACGTGTGCATTCATCTCAAAGAGTTAAACCATTCTTTTGATTGAAATGTTAGGAAATGGTGTTTTTGTAGAATCTGAAGAGGGATATTTGTGAGCGCTTTGAGGCCTTTGGTGAAAAAGTAAATACCTTCACCTTTCTCAGATGAGTAGGTTGCAAAAATTTTTTCCCATTCTGTAGGATGACTGTTCACTCTGATGGTGGTTTCTTTAGCTGTGCAGAAGCTCCTTAGTTTAATTAGATCCCATTTGTCAATTGTGGCTTTGTTGCCATTGCTTTAGGTGTTTTAGACATGAAGTCCTTGCCCATGCCTATGCCCTGAATGGTATTTCCTAGGTTTTCTTCTAGGGATTTTATGTGAAGCATTCTTTTGATTAATCAGTTTGGATACTCTGTTCTTGTAGAATCTGCAAGGAGATATTTGTGAGCGCTTTGAGGCCTTTGGTGAAAAAGTAAATACCTTCACATAATAAATAGACAGAAGCTCTCTGAGAAACCTCCCTGTCTGTGTGCATTCATCTCACAGAGTTGAAACTGTCTTTTGGCTGAGCAGTTTGAAAACTGTCTATTTGTAGAATCTGCAAAGGGATATTTATGAGCACTTTGAAGCCTATGGTGAGAAAGGAAATATCTTCACATAAAAACTGGATAGAAGATTTCTGAGAAACCTCTTTGTGATGTGTGCATTTATCTCACAGTGTTGAACCATTCTTTTGATTGAGCAGTTTGTAAACAGACTTTTTGTAGAATCTGCAAAGGGATATTTGTCAGCTCTATGAGGCCTATGGTGAAAAAGGAAATATCTTCAATAAAAACTATAAAGAATGTTTCTGAGAAGCTGTTTTGCAAGATGTGCACTCATCTCAGAGAGATAAAAGTTTCTATTCTTTGATGAGTCTGGAAACTCTGTTCTTGTAAAATCTGCAAAGGGATATTTGTGAGTGGCTTTAGGCCTGTGGTGAAAAAGGAAATATCTTCACATAAAAACTAGACAGAAGATTTCAGAGAAAGTTCTTTGTGATATGTGCATTCATCTCACAGAGTTGAACCACTCTTTTGATTGAGAAGTTTGGAAACAGTCTTTTCAGAGAATCTGCAAAGGGATATTTTGAGCGCTTTGATAGGTATGGTGAAAAGGGAAATATCTTCACTTAAAAACTGGACAGAAGCTTTCTGAGAAACTTCTTTGTGATGTGTGCATTCGACTAACAGAGTTGAACCTTTCTTTTGATTGGGCAGTTTGGAAAGAGTCCTTTCCTAGAATCTGCAGAGGGATATGTGTGAGCCCTTTATGGCCTAAGGTGAAATAGGAAATATCTTCATATAAAAACTAGACAGAAGCATTCTGAGAAACTTCTTTGTCAAGTGTGCTTTCATCTCACAGAGTGGAACCTCTCTTTTGATTGAGGAGTTTGGAAACAGTCTTTCTGTAGAATATGCAAATGGATATTTGGAGCGCTTTGAGGCCTATGGTGAAAAAGGAAATATCTTCACCTAAAAACTAGACAGAAACATTATGAGAAACTTCTTTGTGATGTATGCATTCATATCACAGAGTTGAACCTCTCTTTTGATTGAGGAGTTTGGAAACAGTCTTTTTGTAGAATATGCAAATGGATATTTAGAGTGCTTTGAGGCCTATGGTGAAAAAGGAAATATCTTCACCTAAAAACTACACAGAAGCATTCTGAGAAACTTCTTTGTGATGTATGCATTCGTTTCACAGAGTTGAACCTTTCTTATGATTGAGCAGTTTCAAAGCAGTCCTTTTGTAGAATATGCAAAGGGATATTTGTGAGCCCATTGAGGCCTGTGGTGAATTAGGAAATATCTTCACATATAAACTAGTCAGAAGATTTCTGAGAAACTTGTTTGTGATGTGTGCATTCATCTAACAGAGTTGAAACTTTCTTTTGATTGGGCAGTTTGGAAAGTGTCCTTTTCTAGAATCTGCAGAGGGATATTTGTGAGCCCTTTATGGCTTAAGGTGAAATAGGAAATATCTTCACATAAAAACTAGACAGAAGCATTCTGAGAAACTTCTTTGTCAAGTGTGCTTTCATCTCACAGAGTTGAACCTCTCTTTTGATTGAGGAGTTTGGAAAGTCTTTTTGTAGAATACACAAATGGATATTTGGAACTCTTTGAGGCCTATGGTGAAAAAGGAAATATCTTCACCTAAAAACTACACAGAAGCATTCTGAGAAACTTCTTTGTGATGTATGCATTCATATCACAGAGTTGAACCTTTCTTATGATTGAGCAGTTTCAAAGCAGTCCTTTTGTAGAATATGCAAAGGGATATTTGTGAGCCCATTGAGGTCTGTGGTGAATTAGGAAATATCTTCACATATAAACTAGTCAGAAGATTTCTGAGAAACTTATTTGTGATGTGTGCTTTCATCTCACAGAGTTGAACCTTTCTTTTGAATGAGCAGTTTGGAAACACACTTTTTGTAGAATCTGCAAATGGATATTTAGAGCACTTTGAGGACTATGGTGAAAAAGGAAATATCTTCACATAAAAACTAGAAAGCAACATTCTATGAAACTTCTTTGTGATGTGTGCTTTCATCTCACAGAGTTGAACCTCTCTATTCATTGAACAGTTTGGAAACCATCTTTTTGTAGAATCTGCAAATGGATATTTGGAGCATTTTGAGGCCTTGGTGAGAATGGAAATATCTTCACATAAAAACTAGATAGAAGCATTCTGAGAAACTTCTTGGTGATGTGTGCATTTATCACACAGAGTTATACCTTTCTTTTGATTGAACACTTTGGAAACAGTCTTTTTGTAGTATCTGTAGAGGGATGTTTGCGAGCGATTTGAGGCCTATGGTGAAAAAGGAAATATCTTCACATAAAAACTAGACAGAAGCTTTCTGAGAAACTTCTTTGTGATGTGTGAATTCATCTCACAGTGTTGAACCTTTCTTTGGATAGAGCAGTTTGGAAACAATCCTTTTGTAGAATCTGCAAAGGTATATTTCTGAGCCCATTGAGGCCTATGGTGAAATATGAAATATCTTCCCATAAAAACTAGACAGAAGGTTTCTAAGAAACTCCTTTGTGATGTGTGCTTCCATCTCACAGAGTTGAACCTTTCTTTTGATTGAGCAGTTTGGAAACACTCTTTTTGTAGAATCTGCAAATGGATATTTGGAGCACTTTGAGGCCTATGGTAAAAAAGGAAATATCATCACATAAAAATTAGACGGAAGCATTCTGAGAAACTTCTTTGTGATGTTTGCATCCATCTCACACAGTTGAACATTTCTTTGATTGAAGATTGGGAAACAGTCTTTTTGTAAAATCTACGAAGGGATAATTGTGAACCCTTTGAGGCCTATGGTGAAGTAGGAAATATCTTAACATAAAAACTACACGGAAACATTTTGAGAAACTTTTTTGTGATGGGTACATTCATCTCACAGAGTTGAAGCTTTCTTTTTCTAGAGCAGTTTGGAAACAGTCCTATTGTAGAATCCCCAAAGGGATATTTCTGAGCCCATTGAGGCCTTTGGTGATATAGGAAATACCTTCACATAAAGCTAGACGGAAGCTTTCTGAGAAACTTCTTTTCAATGAGTGCTTTCATCTCAAAGAGTTGAGCATTTCGGAAACACTCTTTTTGCCTAATCTGCAAATGCATAATTGGAGCATTTTTAGGTCTATGGTGAATAAGGAAATATCTTCCCATAACAACTGAACATAAGCTTTCTGAGAAACTACTTTGTAATGAGTGCATTCATCTCACAGAGTTGAAACTTTCTTTTGATGAGCCGTTTGTAAACTGTCTTTTTGTACAATCTGCAAATGCATATTGGGAGCACTTTGAGGCCTATGGTGAAAAAGGAAATATCTTCAGATAAACACTAAACAGAAGCTTTCTGAGAAACTTCTTTGTGATGGGTGCATTCATATCACAGAGCTGAAACTTTCTTTTGATTTAGCAGTTTGTAAACAGTCTTTTGGTAGAATCTGCAAATGGACACTTTGAGTACTTTGAGGCCTATGGTGAAAAAGGAAATATCTTCACAAAAAAACTAGAAAGATACATTCTGAGAAACTTCTTTGTGATGCGTGCTTTCAACTCACAGAGTTGAAACTTTCTTTTCACTGAGCAATTTGGAAACAGTCTTTTTGTGGAATCTGCAAAAAATATTTTTGAGCCCTTTATGGCCCATGCTGAAACAGGAAATAACCTCACAGAAAAACCAGACAGAAGCTTTCTGAGAAACTTCTTTGTGATGTGTGCTTTGAACTCACAGAGTTGTACCTTTCTTTTGATTGAGCAGTTTGGAAACAGTCTTTTTGTGGAATCAGCAAATGGATGTTTGGAGGGCTTTGAGGCCTATGGTGAAAAAGGAAATACCTTCATATAATAAATAGACAGAAGCATTGTGAGAAACATCTCTGTTATGTGTGCATTCATCTCATAGAGTTGAACCTTTCTTTGAATGGCTTGGAAACTCTTTTTGTGGAATCAGCAAATGGATGTTTGGAGTGCTTTGAAGCCTATGGTGAAAAAGGAAATACCTTCACATAAAAAATAGACAGAAGCATTGTGAGAAACATCTCTGTGATGTGTGCATTCATCTCATAGTGTTGAACCTTTGTTTGATCGAGCAGTTTGGAAACAGTCCTTTTGTAGAATCTGCAAAGGGATATTTCTGAGCCCATTGAAGCCTAGGGTGAAAAAGAAATGTCTTCACATAAAAACTAGACAGAAGCATTCTGATAAACTTTTGTGATGTGTCCATTCATCTCACAGAGTTGAAACTTCCTTTGGATTGAGCAGAGTGGAAACAGTCTTTTTGTAGAATCTGCAAAAAGTATTTTTGAGCCCTATATGGCCCAAGGTGAAATAGGAAATATCTTCACAAAAAAACTAGACAGAAGCATTCTGAGAAACCTCTTTGTGATGTGTGCTTCTGTGTCACAGAGTTGAGCATTTCTTTTGATTGAGCAGTTTGGAAACACTCTTTTTGTAGAATCTGCAAATGGGTATTTGGAGCGCTTTGAGGCCTACAGTGAAAAAAGAAATATCTTCACATAAAAACTAGACAGATGCATTCTGTGAAACTTCTTTGTGATGTGTGCATTCATCTCACAGAGTTGAATCTTTCTTTGGATTCAGCAGTTTTCTAAACAGTCCTTTTGTAGAATCTGCAAAGAGATATTTCTGAGCCCATTGAGGCCTATGGTGAAAAAGGAAATATCTTCAAATAAAAACAAAACAGAAGCTTTCTGAGAAGCTTCTTTATGATGTGTGCATTCATCTCACAGAGTGGAATCTTTCTTTTGCTTGAGCAGTTTGGAAACAGTCTTTTTGTAAAATCTGCAAAAGGGTATTTCTGAGCCGTTTGAGGCTGATGGTGAAAAAGAAATATCTTCACATAAAAACTAGACAGAAGCATTCCGAGAAACTTGTTTCTGATGTGTGCATTCATCTCACAGGGTTGAACCTTTCTTTTGTTTGAGCAGTTTGGAAACAGTCTTTTTTTTGAATATGCAAACGGATATTTTTGAGCCCTTTACAGCCTATGGTGAAATAGGCAATATCTTCACATAAAAATTAGACAGAATATTTCTGAGAAAATGCTTTGTGATGTGTGCTTTCATCTCACAGAGGTGAACTTTTGTTTTGATTGAGTAGTTTGGAAACAGTCTTTCTGTAGAATCCACAAATGGATATTTGCAGTGCTTTTAGGCCTATGGTGAAAAAGGAAATATCTTCACAACAACACTAAAAAGAAGCTTTCTGAGAAACTTCTTTGTGATGTGTGGATTCATATCACAGAGCTGATCCTTTCTTTTGATTGAGCAGATTGGAAACCGTCTTTTTGTACAATCTGCAAAGGGATATTTCTGAGCTGTTTGATGCCTATGGTGAAAAAGAATTATCTTCACATAAAAACTAGACAGAATTATTGTGAGACACTTCCTTGTGATGTGTGCCTTCATCTCACAGAGTTGAACCTTTCTTTTCTTGGAGCAGTTTGGAAACAGTCTTTTTGAAGTATCTGCAGAGGGATATTTGTGAGCAGTTAAAGGCCTATGGTGAAAAATAAAATATCTTCACATAAAATCTATACAGAAGCATTCTGAGAAACTTGTTTTTTATGTGTGCATTCATCTCCCAGAGATGAATCTTTCTTTTCATTGAGCAGTCTGGAAACAGTCTCTTTATACAATGTGCAAAGGGATATTTCTGAGAGGTTTGAGGCCTATGGTGAAAAAGTAATACCTTCACATAAAAACTAGACAGAAGCATTCTGAGAAACTTCTTTTTTATGTGTGCATTCACCTCACATAGTTGAAACTTCCTTTTCATTGAGCAGTTTGGAAACAGTCTTTTTGTAGAATCTGCAAAGGGATATTTGTGATTCCTTTGAGTCCTGTGGTGAAATAGGAAATATCCTCAAATAAAAACTAGACAGAGCTTTCCAAGAAACTTCTTTTTGATGTGTGCTTTCATCTCACAGAGTTGAACCTTTCTTTTGATTGAACAGTTTGCAAACAGTCTTTTTGTGGAATCTGCAAATGGATGTTTGGAGTGTTTTGAGGCTTATGGTGAAAAAGTAAATATCTTCACATAAAAACTAGATTCATGTTTTCTGGGAAACTTCTTTGTGATGGGTGTATGCATCTCAAAGAGTTGAATCTTTCTTTTGATTGAGTAGTTTGGAAGCAGTCTTTTTGGAGAATCTTCAAAGGGATGTTTTTGAGTGGTGTGAGGCATGTGGTGAAAAAGGAAATATCTTCATATAAAAACTAGACAGAAGCATTCTGAGAAATCACTTTGTGATGCATGCATTCATCTCACAGAGTTGAATTTTCTTTCATTGAGCAGTTTGGAAACAGTCTTTTTGTAGAATATGCAAAGGGATATTTGTGAGCTTTTTGAGGCCTATTGTGAAAAAGGAAATCTGCACAAATAAAATCTAGACAGAAGCCTTCTGAGAAACTTCTTTGTGATGTGTGCATTCATCACACAGAATTGAACCTTTCTTTCGATTGAGTAGTTTGGAAGCAGTCTTTTTGTAGAATTTGCAAAGGAAAATTTGTGAACACTTTGAGGCTTATGGTGAAAAAGAAGTATCTTCACATAAAAACTAGTCAGAAACGTTCTGAGAAACTTCTTTGTGATGTGTGCAGTCATCTCACACAGCTGAAGTTTCATTTGATTGACCAGTTTGGAAACAGTCCTTTAGTAGAATCTGAAAAGGGTTATTTATGAGCAGTTTGAAGCCTATAGTGAAAAAGGGAGTATCGACAAATAAAACCTAGACAGAAACTTTCTGAGAAACTTCTCTGTGATGTGTGCATCCATCTCACAGAGTAAAAACTTTCTTTGATTGAGCAGTTTGGAAACAGTCTTTTTGTAGAATCTGCAAAGGGATACATGTAGGCGGTTTCAGGTCTATCATGAAAATGGAAATATCTTCACATAAAAACTAGAAAGAAGGTTTCTGAGAAAATTCTTTGAGATGTGCTCATTCGTCTCACAGATTTGAAGTGTTCTTTTCATTGACCAGTTTGGATAGAGTCTTTTTGTAGAATCTGCTTTGCAATATTTGTGAGCCCTTTGAAGCCTATGGTGAAAAAAGAAATATCTTCACACAAAAACTAGACAGAAGTTTCTGAGAAACTTCGTTGTGATGTGTGCATTCATCCCAAAGAGTTGAACCTGTCTTTGGATTGAGCAGTTTGGAAACAGTCCTTTGTAGAATGTACAAAGGGATATTTGAGATCCCTTTTTGGCCTATGGTGAAAAAGGAAATGTCTTCACATAAAAACTAGACAGAAGCATTCTGAGAAACTTCTTTTTTATGTGTGCATTCTTCTCACAGAGTTGAACCTTTCTTTAGATAGAGCAGGTTGGAAAATGTCTTTTTGTAGAATCTGCAAAGTGATAATTTGAATGCTTTGAGACTTATGGTAAAAAAGGAAATATCTTCACATAAAAACTGGACGGAAGCTTTCTGAGAAACTTTGTGATGTGTGCATTCATCTCAAAGAGTTGAAGCTTTATTTCAGTTGAGCAGTTTGGGAACAGTCTTTTTGTAAAATCTGTAAAGGGACATTTGTGAGCACTTTGAGGCCTATATTGAAAAAGGAAACATCTTCAAATAAAAACTAGACAGAAGCTTTCTGAGAAACTTCTTTGTGATGTGTGCATTCACCTCACAGAGTTGAACCTTTCTTTTGATTGAGTAGTTTGGAAACACTCTTTTTGTAGAATCTGCAAAGGGTTATTTATGAGCAGTTTGAAGCCTATGGTGAAAAAAAGAGTATCAACAAATAAAAACTAGACAGAAACTTTCTGAGAAACTTCTCTGTGATGTGTGCATTCATCTCACAGAGTGGAAGCTTTCTTTGAGCAGGTTGGAAACAGTCTTTTTGTAGAATCTGCAAAGGGATATATGTAGGCGGTTTGAGGTCTATCATGAAAACAGAAATATCTTCACATAAAACTAACTGTTCAATGGGAAGAAACTTTTACTTGAGTGTGATGAATGCACACGTCACAAAGGAGTTACTCAGAAAACTTCTTTCTACTTTCAATGTGAAGATATTTCCTTTTTCACCATGTGCCTCAACGCACTCCCAGATATCCCTTTGCAGATTCTACAAAAAGACTGTTTCCAAACTGCTCAATAAACAAAATGGTTCAACCCTGTGAGACGAATGTGCACATCACAAAGAAGCTTCTCAGAAGACTTCCTTCTTGTGTTTATGTGAAGATATTTCCTTTTTGAACATAGGCCTCAATGCACTCCCAAATATACCTTTGCAGAATCTACAAAAAGACTGTTTCCAAAGTGCTCAATCAAAAGAAAGTTTCAACTCTGTTAGATGAATGCACACATCAGAAAGTAGTTTCTTAGCAAGCTTCTCACTAGTTTTTATGTGAAAATAGTTCCTTCTTCAACGTGAGTCTCAAAGCACTCAAAAATATCCCTTTGCAGACTCTAGAATAACAGAGTTTACAAACTGCTCAATGAAAAGAAACGTTTACCTCTGTGAGATGAATACACATATCTTAAAGCAGCTTCTCAGAATGCTTCTTTCTAGTTTTTATGTGAAGATATTTCCTTTTTCACCATGGTCCTCAAAGCGCTCTAAATATCCCTTTGCAGATTGTACAAAAAGACTGTTTCCAAACTGCTCAATCAAAAGAAATGTTAAACTCTATGAGATAAATGCACACATCACAAAAAGTTTCTCGGAAAACTTTTGTCTAGTTTTTATATGAAGATAATTCCTTATTCACCATAGGCCTCAAAGCACTACAAATATCCCTCTGCAGATTCTACAAAAAGACTGTTTGCAAACTGCTCAATCCAAAGAATGTTTCAACTCTGTGAGATGAATGCACACACCAAAAGAAGTTTCTCAGAAACTTTCTTTATGGTTTTTCTGTGAAGATATTTCCTTTTTCACCATAGGCCTCAAAGCCCTCACAAATATCCCTTTGCAGATTCTACAAAAAGACTGTTTCCAAACTGCTCAATAAAAAGAATTATTGAATACTGTGAGATGAATGCACACAGCTCAAAGAAGTTTCTCAGAATCCTTCAGTCTGGTTTTTATGTGAATATATTTCCTTTTACACCATAGGCCTCAAAGCACTCCAAATATCCATTTGCAGATTCTACAAAAAGACTGTTTCCAAATGGCTCAATCAAAACAAAGATTCAACTCTGTGTGATGAATGCACACATCACGAAGAAGTTTCTCAGAATGCTTCTGTCTCGTTTTTATGTGAAGATACTTGCTTTTTCACCATAGGCCTCAAAGTGCTCACAAATATCCCTTTACAGATTCTACAAAAATACTTTTTCCAAATTGCTCAATCAAAAGAAAGTTTCAACTCTGTGAGATGTATGCACACCACAAAGAGGTTTCTCAGAAAACTTCTCTCTAGTTTTTATGTGAAGATATTTTCTTTTTCACCATAGGCCTCAAAGTACTCACAAATATCCCTTTGAAGACTCTAGAAGAACAGTTTCCAGACTGACCAGAGAAAAGAAACGTTTACCTCTGTGAGATGAATGCATACATCACAAAGCTGTTTCTGAGAAACCTTGTTTATACTTTTTATGTGAATATATTTCCTTTTTCACCATAGGTCTCAAAGCACTCATAAATATACCTTTACAGATTCTACAAAAAGACAGTTTCCCAACTGCTCAGTCAAAAGAATTGTTGAACTCTGTGAGATGAATGCATACATCACAAAGCAGTTTGTCAGAATTCTTTAGTCTAGTTTTTATGTGAAGATATTTTCTCTTTCACCATAGGCCTCAAAGCGCTCAGAAATATCCCTTTACAGATTTCACAAAAAGACTTTTCCAAACTGCTCAATCAAAACAAAGTTTCAATTCTGTGAGATAAATGCACACATCACCAAAAAGTTTCTCAGTATGCTTCTGTCTAGTTTTTATGTGAAGACAATTCCTTTTTCACCATAGGGCTCTATGCACTCAAAAATACCCCTTAGCAGATTCTAAAACAACAGAGTTTCCCAAATGATCAAAGAAAAGAATCGTTTTCCTCTGTGAGATGAATGCAGACATCACAAAACAGTTTCTCAGAAAACTTCTTTATAGTTTTCTGTGAAGATACTACTTTTTCTGCATAGGCCTCAAAATGCTCACAAATATCCATTTGCAGATTCTGTAAAAATACTGGTTCCAAACTGCTGAATCAAAAGAGAGGTTCAAATCTGTGAGATGAATGCACATATCACAAAGAAGTATCTCAGAAACTTTCCTTATAATTTGTATGTGAAGATATTTCCTTTGTCAACATAGGCCTCAAAGTGATCAAAAATACCCTTTTTCAGATTGTACAAGAACAGAGTTTCCAGACTGATCAGAGAAAAGAAATGCTTACCTCTGTGAGATGAATGCACACATCACAAGGCTGTTTTTAGGAAACCTGCTTCACAGTTGTTATGTGAAGATACTTCCTTTTCCACCATTGGCCTCACAGCATTCCAAATATCCACTTGCAGATTCTACAAAAAGAGTGTTTCAAAACTGCTCAATCAAAGGAAAGGTTGAACTCTGAGATGAATGCAAACATCACAAAGAAGTTTCTCAGAATGTCTCTGTCTAATTTTTATGTTAAGGTATTTCCTTTTCCACCATAGGCATCAAAGTGCTCCAAATATCCACATGCAGATAGGACAAAAAGGCTGCTTCCAAACTGCTCAATCAAAAGTGTGGTTCAACTCTCTCAGATGAATACACACATCACTAAGAATGCTTCTGTCTAGTTTTTATATGAAGATATTTCCTTTTCCAACATAGGCCTCAAATCGCCCCAAATACCCACTTGCAGATTCTACAAAAAGAGTATTTCAAAACTGGTCAATCAAAAGAAAATTGGAACTCGGTGAGATGAATGCACACATCACAAAGAAGTTTCTCAGAATGCTTCTGTCTAGTTTTTATGTGAAGATATTTCCTTTCCCACTCTAGGCCCCAAAGCGCTCCATATATGCAATTGCAGATTCTACAAACAGACTGTTTCAAAACTGCTCAATCAAAAGAAACGTTCAAGTCTGTGAGTTCAATACACATATCACAAAGAAGTTTCTCAGAATGCTTCTGTCCAGTTTTTATGTGGAGATATTTCCTTTTCCAACATTGGGCTAAAAGCGACACAAATATCCACTTGCACATTCTACAAAAAGAGTATTTCAAAAATGCTCAATCAAAACAAAGGCTCAACACTGTGAGATGAATGCACACATCACAAAGCAGTTTCTCAGAATGCTTCTGTCGAGTTTTTATGTGAAGATATTTCCTTTCCCACTCTAGGCCCCAAAGCGCTCCATATATGCAATTGCAGATTCTACAAACAGACTGTTTCAAAACTGCTCAATCAAAAGAAACGTTCAAGTCTGTGAGTTCAATACACATATCACAAAGAAGTTTCTCAGAATGCTTCTGTCCAGTTTTTATGTGGAGATATTTCCTTTTCCAACATTGGGCTAAAAGCGACACAAATATCCACTTGCACATTCTACAAAAAGAGTATTTCAAAAATGCTCAATCAAAACAAAGGCTCAACACTGTGAGATGAATGCACACATCACAAAGCAGTTTCTCAGAATGCTTCTGTTGAGTTTTTATGTGAAGATATTTCCTTTTCCACTAGAGTCCACAAAGCGCTCCAAATATCCAATTTCAGATTCTACAAAAAGAGTGTTTCAAAACTGCTCAAACAAAAGAAAGATTCAACTCTGTGAGTTGAATGCACACAGCACAAAGAAGTCTCTCAGATTGTTTCTGCCTAGTTTTCATGTGAAGATATTCTCTTTTCCACCATAGGCCCCAAAGTGCACCAAATATCCACTTGCAGATTCTACAAAAAGTGTGTTTCAAAACTGCTGAATCAAAAGAAAGGTTCAACTCTGTTAGGTGAATGCACACATTACAAAGAAGTTTCTCAGAATGCTTCTGTCTAGTTTTTATGTGGAGATATTTCCTTTTCCACTAGAGGCTGCCAAGTGCCAAAATATCCACTTGCAGATACTACAACAAGAGTGTTTCAAAACTGCTCTATCAAAAGAAATGTTCAACTCTTTGAGGTAATGCACACATCACAAAGAAGTTCCTCAGAATGCTTCTGTCTAATTTTTATGTGAAGATATTTCCTTTTCCACCATAGGCCTTAAAGCACTCCAAATATCGAATTGCAGATACTACAATAAGACTATTCCCAAGCTGCTCAAACAAAACAGGTGTTCAACTCTGTGAGTTGAATGCACACTTAACAAAGAAGTTTCTTAGAATGCTTCTGTCTAGTTTTTATGTGAAGATATTTCCTTTTCCATCGTAGGCCACCAATGGCTCCAAATATCCACTTGCAGATTGTACAAAAAGAGTGTTTCAAAACTGCTGAATCAAAACAAAGGTTCAACTCTGTGAGATGAATGCAAACATCACAAAGAAGTTTCTCAGAAAGCTTCTGTCTAATTTTTATATTAAGGTATTTCCTTTTCCACCATAGGCCTCAAATCATTCCAAATATCCACTTGAAGATTCTACAAAAAGAGCGTTTCAAAACTTCTCAATCAAAAGAAAAGTCCAATTCTGTGATAGGAATGCACACATCACAATGAAGTTTCTCAGAATGCTTCTGTGTAGTTTTTATGTGAAGATATTTCCTTTGAACGTAGGCCTCAAAGCGCTAAAAATCCAATTGCAGATTCTACAAAAAGAGTTTTTCAAAATTGCTGAGTCAAAAGAAACCTTCAACTCAGTGAGATGAATGCACCCATCAAAAAGAAGGTTCTCAGAATGCTTCAGTCTAGTTTTTATGTGAAGATATTTCCGTTTCCAGTAGAGGCCGCAAAGTGCTCCAAATATGCACTTGAAGATTCTCTAAAAAGAGGGTATCAAAACTGCTCAATGAAAAGAAAGGTTTAACTATGTGAGGTCAATGCACATATCACAAAGAAGTTTCTCAGAGTGCTCTTGTCTAGTTTTTATGTGAAGATATTTCCTTTTCCACCATGAGCCTCAAAGCACTCCAAATATACATTTGCAGATACTAGAGAAACACTGTTTCCAAACTGCTCAATCAAAAGGAAGTTTCAACTCTGAGAGTTTAATGCATACATCACAAAGAAGTTTCTCAGAATGCTTCTCTGTAGTTTTTATGTGAAGTTATTTCCTTTTCCACCATAGGCCTCATAGCACTCCAAGAATCCAATTGCAGATTCTACAAAAAGCCTTTTTCCAAACTGCTGAATCAATAGAAAGGTTCAACTCTGTGAGTTGAATGCACATACCACAAAGAATTTTCTCAGAATGCTTCTGTCTAGTTTTTAAGTGAAGATAGTTCCTTTTCCACCTTAGGCCTCAAAGAGATCAAATATCCATTGCAGATTCTACAAAAAGTGTGTTTTAAAACTGCTCAATCCAAAGAAAGGTTTAACTCGGTGAGTTGAATGCACACATCACAAAGAAGTTTCTCAGAATGCTTCTGTCTAGGTTTTATGTGAAGATATTACCTTTTCCACTTTAGGCCACAAAGCTCTGTAATATCCACTTGAAGATTCTACAAAAAGAGTGTTTCAAAACTGTTTAATGAAAAGAAATTTCAACACTTTGAGATGAATGCACACATCACAAAGAAGTTTCTCAGAATGCTTCCATCTAGTTTTTATGTGAAGATATTTCCTTTTCCACCATAGGCCGCAAAGCGCTCCAAATATCCACATGCAGATACTACAAAAAGACTGTTTCCAAACTGCTCAATAAAAAGAGTAGTTCAACTCTCCCAGATGAATGCAAACATCACGAAGTATCTCAGAATGCTTCTGTCAAGATTTTATGTGAAGATATTTCCTTTCCAAATATAGGCCTCTAAGCACTCCAAATATACATTTGTAGATGCTACAAAAAGAAAGTTTCCAAACTTCTCAATAAAAAGATAGGTGCAACTCTGTGAGCTGAATGCACACATCTCAAAGAAGTTTCTCAGAATGCTTCTCTCTAGTTTTTATGTGAAGATATTTCCTTTTCCACCAGCGGCTGCAAAGCACTCCAAATATCCATTTGCAGATTCTACAAAAAAACTGTTTCCAAACTGCTCAATCAAAAGTAAGTTTCAGCTCTGTAAGAAGAAGGCACACATCACAAAGAAGTTTCTCAGAAACTTTCTGTCTAGTTTTTATATGAAATTACTTTTAGTTTCCCTAGAGGCCACAAAGGGCTCAGAAATATCCCTTTGCAGATTCTACAAAAGGACTGATTGAAAACTGCTCAATCTAAAGAATGGTTCAACTCTGTGAGATGAATGCACACAACAAAGAGAAGTTTCCCAGAATGCTTCTGTCTAGTTTTTATGTGAAGATATTTCTGTTTCCATCATAGGCCACCAATCGCTCCAAATATCCACTTGCAGATCCTACAAAAAGAGTGTTTCAAAACTGCTCAATCCAAAGAAAGTTTCAACACTGTGAGACAAATGCACACATCACAAAGAAGTTTCTCAGAATGCTTCTGTCTACTTTTTATGTGATGACATTAAATTTTCCACCATAGGCCTCAAAGCGCTCCAAATATCCAGTTGCAGATCCTACAAAAAGTGTGTTTCAAAGCTGCTTAATTAAAAGAAAGTTTCAACTCTGTGAGATGAATGCACGCATCACCAAGAAGTTTTTCAGAATGCTTCTGTCTAGTATTTATGTGAAGATATTTCCTTTTCCAATAAAGGTCGCAAATGATGTAAAATACCCACTTGCAGATTCTACAAAAAGGGTGTTTAAAGACTGTTCAATCAAAAGAAAGATTAAACGTTGTGAGTTGAATTCACCCATCACAAACAAGGTTCTCAGAATGCTTCTGTCTAGTTTTTATATGAAGATATTTCCTTTTGCACCATAGGCCTAAAAGTACTCCAAATAACCACTTGCAGATTGCACTAAAAGTGTGTTTCAACACTGCTCAATTAAAAGAAAGTTTCAACTCTGTGAAATGAATGCTAACAACATAAAGAAGTTTCTCAGAATGCTCCTGGTTAGTTTTTTTGTGAAGATATTTCCTTTTCCACCATAAGGCCCCAAAGCACTCCAAACATCCACTTGCAGATTCTACAAAAGGACTGTTTCAAAACTGCTCAATGAAAAGAAGGGTTCAACTCTGTGAGATGAATGCACACAACAGAAAGAAGTTTCTCAGAATGCTTCTGTCAATTTTTATGTGAAGATATTTCCTTTTCCACCATAGGCCTCAATGCATTCCAAATATCCAATTGCAGATTCTACAAGAAGAGTGATTCAAAACTGCTCAATCAAAAGAAAGTTTCAACTCTGTGAGTTGAATGCACACATCACAAATAAGTTTTTCAGAATGCTTCTGTGTAGTATTTATGTGAAGATATGTCCTTTTCCACCATAGGCCTCAATCCGCTCCAAATATCCATTTGCAGATACTACAAAAACAGTGTTTCAAAACTGCTCAATCAAAAGAAAGTTTCAACTCTGTGAGATGAATGCACACATGACAAAGAAGTTTCTCAGAATGCTTCTGTCTTGTTTTTATGTGAAGATATTTCCTTTTAAACCACAGGCTACACAGCGCTCCAAATGTCCACTTGCAGATTCTACAGAAAGAGTGTTTCAAAACTGCTCAATAAAAAGAAAAATTCAACTCTGTAAGATGAATGCACACATCACAAACATGTTTCTCAGTTTCCTTCTGTCTAGTTTTTATGTGAAGATATTTCCTTTTACACCATTGGCCGCAAAGTGCTCCAAATATCCTCTTGCAGATTCTACAAAGAGAGTGTTTCAAAACTGCTCAATCAAAAGACATGTTCAACACTGTGAGATGAATGCAAACATCACAAAGAAGTTTCTCAGAGAGCTTCTGTGTCGTTTTTATGTGAAGATATTTCCTTTTCCACCATAGGCCTCAAGGTGCTCCAAATATCCACTAGCAGATTATACAAAAAGAGTTTTTCAAAACTGCTCAATCAAAAGAAATATTCAACTCTGTGAGATGAATACACACATCACAAAGAAGTTTCTCAGAATGCTTCTGTCTATTTTTTAAGAGAAGATATTTCCTTTTCCACTAGAGGCCACAAAGCGCTCCAAATATACACTTGCAGATTCTACAAAAAGAGGGTTTCATAACTGCTCAATCAAAAGAAAGTTTCAACACTGTGAGGTGAATGCACACATCAGAAAGAAGTTTCTCAAATTACTTCTGTCTAGTATTTTTGTGAAGATTTTTCCTTTTCCTCTATGCCTCAAACTGCTCCAAGTATCCATTTGCAGATACTACAAAAAGAGTGTTTCAAAACTCCTCAATCAAAAGAAAGTTTCAACTCTGTGAGTTGAATGCACACATCACAAAGAAGTTTCTCACAAGTTTCTGCATAGTTTTTATGTGAAGATATTTCCTTTTCCACCATAGGCCGCAAAGTGCTCCAAATATCCACATGCAGAATCTACAAAAAGAGTGTTTCAAAACTGCTCAGTCAAAAGAAATTTTGAACTCTGTGAGATGAATGCACACATCACCAAGAAGTTTCTCAGAATTCTTCTGTCTAGCTTTTATGTGAAGATATTTCCTTTTCCACCATAGGACTCAAAGCACTGTATATATCCACTTGCCAATTCTGCAAAAAGAGTTTCAAAACTGCTCAATCAAAAGAAAGGTTGAACTCTATTAGATGAATGTGCACATCACAAAGAAGTTTCTCAGAAGGCTTGTGTCTTGTTTTTAAGTGAAGATATTTCCTTTTCCATCATAGGCCTCAATATGTTCCAAATATCCACTGGCAGATTCCAGAAAAAGAGTGTTGCAAAAGAGCTGAATCAAAAGAAAGTTTCAACTCCGTTAGATGAATGCACACATCACAAAGAAGTTTCTCAGAATGCTTCTGTCTAGTTTTTATGTGAAGATATTTCCTTTTCCACTCTAGGCCACAAAGCTCTCCAAATGTCCACTTGCAGTTTCTATAAAAAGAGTGTTTCTAAACTGCTCAATAAAAAAAAAGGTTCAAATCTGTGAGATGAATGCACACATTACAAAGAAGTTTCTCGGAATGCTTCTGTCTACTTTTTTTGTGAAGGTATTTCCTTTTACACTGTAGTCCTCAAAGCGCTCCAAATATCCATTTGCAGATACTACAAAAAGACTGTTTCCAAACTGCTCAATAAAAGGAAAGGTTCAACTCTGTAAGTTGAATGCTCATATCAGAAAGTAGTTTCTCAGAATGCTTCTGTCTAGTTTTAATGTGAAGATATTTCCTTTTCCACTATAGGCCGCAAAGTGCTGCAAATAGCCACTTTCAGATTCTAGAAAAAGAGGGTATGAAAACTGCTCAATCAAATGAAAGGTTCAATTCTGTGAGTTGAATGCATGTATTGTAAAGAAGTTTCTCAGAATGCTTCTGTCTAGTTTTTTATGTGAAGATATTTCCTTTTCCACCTTAGGCCACATAGTGCCCCAAATATCCAATTGCAGATTCTACAAAAGGATTGTTTCAAAACCTGCTCAATCAAAGAAATGTTCAACTGTGTGAGATGAATGCAAACATCACAAAGAAGTTTCTCAGAATTCTTCTGTCTAGTTTTAATGTGAAGATATTTCCTTTTCCCCCAAAGGCCACAAAGTGCTCCAAATAGCCACTTGCAGATTCTACAAAAAGACTGTTTCAAAACTGCTCAATCAAAAGAAAGGTTCAACACTGTGAATTGTATGCACACATCAAAAAGCAATTTCTATGGTTTTAGGTTTAACATTTAGGTGTTTAATCTATCCTGAATTAATTTTTGTATAAGGTGTAAGGAAGGGTTCCAGTTTTAGCTTTCTACATATGGCTAGCCAGTTTTCCCAGCACCATTTATTAAATAGGGAATCCTTTCCTCTTTGCTTGTTTTTCTCAGGTTTGTCAATGATCAGATAGTTGTAGATATGCAGCATTATTTCTGAAGGCTTTGTTCTGTTCCATGGATCTATATCTCTGTTTTGGTACAAGTACCATGCTGTTTTGGCGACTGTAGCCTTGTAGTATAGTCTGAAGTCCAGTAGCGTGATACCTCCAGCTTTGTTCTTTTGACTTAGGGTTGACTTGGCAATGAGGGCTCTTTTTTGGTTATATGTGAACTTCAAGTAGTTTTTTCCAATTCTGCAGAGAAAGTCATTGGTAGCTTGATGGGGATGGCATTGAATCTATAAATTACCTTGGGCAGTATGACCATTTTCACGATATTGATTCTTCCTACCCATGAGCATGGAATGTTCTTCCTTTTGTTTGTTTCCTCTTTTATTTCCTTGAGCAGTGGTTTGTAGTTCTCCTTGAAGAGGTCCTTCACATCCCTTGTAAGTTGGATTCCTAGGTATTTTATTCTTTTTGAAGCAATTGTGAATGGGAGTTCACTCATGATTTGGCTCTCTGTTTGTCTGTTATTGGTGTATAAGAATGTTTGTGATTATTGTACATTGATTTTGTATCCTGAGACTTTGCTGAAGTTGCTTATCAACTTAAGGGGATTTTGGGCTGAGACAATGGGGTTTCTTAGACATACAATCATGTTGTCTGCAAACAGGGACAATTTGACTTCCTCTTTTCCGAATTGAATACCATTTATTTCCTTCTCATACCTAATTGCCCTGGCCAGAACTTCCAACACTATGTTGAATAGGAGTGGTGAGAGAGGGCATCCCTGTCTTGTGCCAGTTTTCAAAGGGAATGCTTCCAGTTTTTGTCCATTCAGTATGATATTGGCTGTGGGTTTGTCACAGATAGCTCTTATTATTTTGACATACATCCCATTAATACCTAATTTATTGAGAGGTTTTAGCACGAAGGGTTGTTGAATTTTTTTTGAATGTTTTTTATTTTATTTTTTTTTATTTTAAGTTTTAGGGTACATGTGCACATTGTGCAGGTTAGTTACATATGTATACATGTGCCATGCTGGTGCGCTGCACCCACTAACTCGTCATCTAGCATTAGGTATATCTCCCAAAGCTATCCCTCCCCCCTCCCCCTACCCCACAACAGTCCCCAGAGTGTGATATTCCCATTCCTGTGTCCGTGTGTTCTCATTGTTCAATTCCCACCTATAAGTGAGAATATGCAGTGTTTGGTTTTTTGTTCTTGTGATAGTTTACTGAGAATGATGATTTCCAATTTCATCCATACCCCTACAAAGGACAAGAACTCAACAATTTTTATGGCTGCATAGTATTCCATGGTGTATGTGTGCCACATTTTCTTAATCCAGTCTATCATTGTTGGACATTTGGGTTGGTTCCAAGTCTTTGCTATTGTGAATAATGCCGCAATAAACATACGTGTGCATGTGTCTTTATAGCAGCATGATTTATAGTCCTTTGGGTATATACCCAGTAATTGGATGGCTGGGTCAAATGGTATTTCCAGTTCTAGATCCAGGAGGAATCGCAACACTGACTTCCACAATGGTTGATCTAGTTTGCAGTCCCACCAACCATGTAAAAGTGTTCCTATTTCTCCACATCCTTTCCAGCACCTGTTGTTTCCTGACTTTTTAATGATCACCATTCTAACTGGTGTGAGATGGTATCACATTGTGGTTTTGATTTGCATTTCTCTGATGGCCAGTGGTGATGAGCATTTTTTCATGTGTTTTTTGGCTGCACAAATGTCTTCTTTTGAGAAGTGTCTGTTCACGTCCTACACCCACTTTTTGATGGGGTTGTTTGTTTTTTTCTTGTAAATTTGTTTGAGTTCATTGTAGATTCTGGATATTAGCCTTTTGTCAGATGAGTAGGTTGCAAAAATTTTCTCCCATTTTGTAGGTTTCCTGTTCACTCTGATGGTAGTTTCTTTTGCTGTGCAGAGGCTCTTTAGTTTAATTAGATCTCATTTGTCAATTTTGGCTTTTGTTGCCATTGTTTTTGGTGTTTTAGACATGAAGTCCTTGCCCATGCCTATGTCCTGAATGGTAATGCCTAGGGTTGCTTCTAGGGTTTTTATGGTTTTAGGTCTAACGTTTAAGTCTTTAATCCATCTTGAATTGATTTTTGTATAAGATGTAAGGAAGGGATCCAGTTTCAGCTTTCTACATATGGCTAGCCAGTTTTCCCAGCACCATTTATTAAATAGGGAATCCTTTCCCCATTGCTTGTTTTTCTCAGGTTTGTCAAAGATCAGATAGTTGTAGATATGTGGCATTATTTCTGAGGGCTCTGTTCTGTTCCATTGATCTATATCTCTGTTTCGGTACCAGTACCATGCTGTTTTGGTTACCGTAGCCTTGTAGTATAGTTTGAAGTCAGGTAGTGTGATGCCTCCAGCTTTGTTCTTTTGGCTTAGGAGTGACTTGGCGATGTGGGCTCTCTTTTGGTTCCATATGAACTTTAAAGTAGTTTTTTCCAATTCTGTGAAGAAAGGCATTGGTAGCTTGTTGGGGATGGCATTGAATCTGTAAATTACCTTGGGCAGTATGGTCATTTTCACATTATTGATTCTTCCTACCCATGAGCATGGAATGTTCTTCCATTTGTTTGTATCCTCTTTTATTTCCTTGAGCAGTTTTTTGTACTTCTCCTTGAAGAGGTCCTTCACATCCATTGTAAGTTGGATTCCTAGGTATTTTATTCCCTTTGAAGCAATTGTGAATGTGAGTTCACTCATGATTTTGCTCTCTGTTTGTCTGTTGTTGGTGTATAAGAATGCTTGTGATTTTTGTACATTGATTTTGTATCCTGAGATTTTGCTGAAGTTGCTCATCAGCTTAAGGAGACTTTGGGCTGAGACAATGGGGTTTTCTAGATATACGATCATGTCATCTGCAAACAGGGACAATTTGACTTCTTCTTTTCCTAATTGAATACCCTTTATTTCCTTCTCCTGCCTAATTGCCCTGGCCAGAAGTTCCAACACTATGTTGAATAGGAGTGGTGAGAGAGGGCATCCCTGTTTGTGCCAGTTTTCAAAGGGAATGCTTCCAGTTTTTGCCCATTCAGTATGATATTGGCTGTGGGTTTGTCATAGATAGCTCTTATTATTTTGAAATACGTCCCATCAATACCTAATTTATTGAGAATTCTTAGCATGAAGGTTGTTGAATTTTGTCAAAGGCCTTTTCTGCATCTATTGATATAATCATGTGGTTTTTGTCTTTGGCTCTGTTTATATGCTGGATTACATTCATTGATTTGCATATATTGAAGCAGCCTTGCATCCCAGGGATGAAGCCCACTTGATCATGGTGGATAAGCTTTTGGATGTGCTGCTGGATTCGTTTTGCCTGTATTTTATTGAGGATTTTTGCATCAATGTTCATCAAGGATATTGGTCTAAAATTCTCTTTTTTTGTTGTGTCTCTGCCTGGCTTTGGTATCAGAATGATGCTGGACTCATAAAATGAGTTAGGGAGGATTCCCTCTTTTTCTGTTGATTGGAATAGTTTCAGAAGGAATGGTACCAGTTCCTCCTTGTACCTCTGGTAGAATTCGGCTGTGAATCCATCTGGTACTGGACTCTTTTTGGTTGGTAAGCTATTGATTATTGCCAGAATTTCAGAGCCTGTTATTGTTCTATTCAGAGATTCAACTTCTTCCTGGTTTAGTCTTGGGAGGGTCTATGTGTTGAGGAATTTATCCATTTCTTCTAGATTTTCTAGTTTATTTGCGTAGAGGTGTTTGTAGTATTCTCTGATGGTAGTTTGTATTTCTGTGAGATCAGTGGTGATATCCCCTTTATCATTTTTTATTGCGTCTATTTGAATCTTCTCTCTTTTTTTCTTTATTAGTCTTGCTTGCGGTCTATCAATTTTGTTGATCTTTTCAAAAAACCAGCTCCTGGATTCATTAATTTTTGAAGGGTTTTTTGTGTCTCTATTTCCTTCAGTTCTGCTCTGATTTTAGTTATTTCTTGCCTTCTGCTAGCTTTTGAATGTGTTTGCTCTTGCTTTTCTAGTTCTTTTAATTGTGATATTAGGGTGTCAGTTTTGGACATTTCCTGCTTTCTCTTGTGGGCGTTTAGTGCTATAGATTTCCCTCTACACACTGCTTTGAATGCGGCCCAGAGATTCTGATATGTTGTGTCTTTGTTCTCGTTGGTTTCAAAGAACATGTTTCTTTCTGCCTTCATTTCGTTATGTACCCAGTAGTCATTCAGGAGCAGGTTGTTCAGTTTCCATGTAGTTGAGTGGTTTGAGTGAGATTCTTAATCCTGAGTTCTAGTTTGATTGCACTGTGGTCTGAGAGATAGTTTGTTATAATTTCTGTTCTTTTACATTTGCTGAGGAGAGCTTTACTTCCAAGTATGTGGTCAATTTTGTAATAGGTGTGGTGTGGTGCTGAAAAAAATGTATATTCTGTTGATTTGGGTTGGAGAGTTCTGTAGATGTCTATTAGGTCTGCTTGGTGCAGAGCTGAGTTCAATTCCTGGGTATCCTTGTTGACTTTCTGTCTTGTTGATCTGTCTAATGTTGACAGTGGGGTGTTAAAGTCTCCCATTGTTAATGTGTGGGAGTCTAAGTCTCTTTGTGGATCACTCAGGACTTGCTTTATGAATCTGGGTGCTCCTGTATTGGGTGCATGTATTTTTAGGATAGTTAGCTCTTCTTGTTGAATTGATCCCTTTACCATTATGTAATGGCCTTCTTTGTCTCTTTTTATCTTTGTTGGTTTAAAGTCTGTTTTACCAGAGACTAGGATTGCAACCCCTGCCTTTTTTTGTTTTCCATTTGCTTGGTAGATCTTCCTCCATCCTTTTATTTTGAGCCTATGTGTGTCTCTGCACGTGAGATGAGTTTCCTGAATACAGCACACTGATGGGTCTTGACTCTTTATCCAATTTGCCAGTCTGTGTCTTTTAATTGGAGCATTTAGTCCATTTACATTTAAAGCTAATATTGTTATGTGTGAATTTGATCCTGTCATTATGATGTTAGCTGGTTATTTTGCTCGTTAGTTGATGCAGTTTCTTCCTAGTCTCGATGGTCTTTACATTTTTGGCATGATTTTGCAGTGGCTGGTACCGGTTGTTCCTTTCCATGTTTAGTGCTTCCTTCAGGAGCTTTTTTAGGGCAAGCCTGGTGGTGGCAAAATCTGTCAGCATTTGCTTGTCTGTAATGTATTTCATTTCTCCTTCGCTTATGTAGCTTAGTTTGGCTGGATATGAAATTCTGGGTTGAAAATTATTTTCTTTAAGAATGTTGAATATTGGCCCCCACTCTCTTCTGGCTTGTAGGGTTTCTGCCAAGAGATTCACTGTTAGTCTGATGGGCTTCCCTTTGAGGGTAACCCGACCTTTCTCTCTGGCTGCCCTTAACATTTTTTCCTTCATTTCAACTTTGCTGAATCTGACAATTATGTGTCTTGGAGTTGCTCTTCTCCAGGAGTATCTTTGTGGCGTTTTCTGTATTTCCTGAATCTGAATGTTGGCCTGCCTTGCTAGATTGGGGAAGTTCTCCTGGATAATATCCTGCAGAGTGTTTTCCTACTTGGTTCCATTCTCCCTGTCACTTTCAGGTACACCAATCAGACGTAGATTTGGTCTCTTCACATAGTCCTATATTTCTTGGAGGGTTTGCTCATTTCTTTTCATTCTTTTTTCTCTAAACTTCCCTTCTCACTTCATTTCATTCATTTCATCTTCCATCGCTGATACCCTTTCTTCCAGTTGAATGCATTGGGCTCCTGAGGCTTCCGCATTCTTCACGTAGTTCTCGAGCCTTGGTTTTCAGCTCCATCAGCTCCTTTAAGCACTTCTCTGCATTGGTTCTTCTAGTTATACATTCTTCTAAATTTTTTTCAAAGTTTTCAACTTCTTTGCCTTTGGTTTGAATGTCCTCCCATAGCTCAGAGTAATTTGATCGTCTGAAGCCTTCTTCTCTTAGCTCGTCAAAGTCATTCTCCATCCAGATTTGTTCCATTGCTGGTGAGGAACTGCGTTCCTTTGGAGGAGGGGAGGTGCTCTGCTTTTTAGAGTTTCCAGTTTTTCTCTTCTCTTTTTTACCCATCTTTATGGTTTTATCTACTTTTGGTCTTTGATGATGGTGATGTACAGATGGGTTTTTGGTGTGGATGTCCTTTCTGTTTGTTAGTTTTTCTTCTAACAGACAGGACCCTCAGCTGCATGTCTGTTGGAATACCCTGCCTTGTATGGTGTCAGTGTGCCCCTGCTGGGGGGTGCCTCCCAGTTAGGCTGCTCGGGGGTCAGGGGTCAGTGTCCCACTTGAGGACCAGTCTTCCAGTTCTCAGATCTCCAGCTGCATGCTGGGAGAACCACTGCTCTCTTCAAAGCTGTCAGACAGGGACATTTAAGTCTGCAGAAGTTACTGCTGTCTTTTTGTTTGTCTGTGCCCTGCCCCCAGACGTGGAGCCTACAGAGGCAGGCAGGCCTCCTTGAGCTGTGGTGGGCTCCACCCAGTTCGAGATTCCAGGCTGCTTTGTTTACCTAATCAAGCCTGGGCAATGGTGGGCACCCCTCCCCCAGACTCACTGCCACCTTGCAGTTTGATCTCAGACTGCTGTGCTAGCAATCAGCGAGACTCCGTGGGCATAAGACCCTCCGAGCCAGGTTCAGGATATAATCTTGTGTTGTGTCGTTTTTTAAGCCCATTGGAAAAGCACAGTATTCGGGTGGGAGTGACCCGATTTTCCAGGTGCTGTTCGTCACCCCTTTCTTTGACTTGGAATGGGAACTCCTTGACCCCTTGCACTTCCCAAGTGAGACAATGCCTCACCCTGCTTCGGCTCATGCACAGTGCATGCACCCACTGACCTGCGCCCACTGTCTGGCACTCCCTAGTGAGATGAACCTGGTACCTCGGATGGAAATGCGGAAATCACCGTCTTCTGCATCACTCATGCTGGGAGCTGTAGAACAGAGCTGCTCCTATTCGGTCATCTTGGCTCCTCCCCCTAGGGTTGTTGAATTTTGTCAAAGGCCTTTTCTGCAACTATTGATATAATCATGTGGTTTTTGTCTTTGGTTCTGTTTATATGCTGGATTACATTTATTGATTTGTGAATGTTGAACCAGCCTTGCATCCCAGGGTTGAAGACCACTTGATCATGGTGGATAAGCTTTTTGATGTGCTGCTGGATTTGGTTTGCCAGTATTTTATTGAGGATTTTTGCATCAATGTTCATCAAGGATATTGGTCTAAAATCCTCTTTTTTGGTTTTGTCTCTGCCAGGCTTTGTTATCAGGGTGATGCTGGCCTCATAAAATGAGCTAGGGAGATTACCTCTTTTTCTATTGAATGGAATAGTTTCAGAAGGAATGGTACCAGTTCCTCCTTGTACCTCTGGTAGAATTCAGCTGTGAATCCAAACCATAAAAACCCTAGAAGAAAACCTAGGCATTACCTTTCAGGACATAGGCATGGGCAAGGACTTCATGTCTAAAACACCAAAAGTAATGGCAACAAAAGCCAAAATTGACAAATGGGGTCTAATTAAACTAAAGAGCTTCTGCACAGCAAAAGAAACTATCATCAGAGTGAACAGGCAACCTACAAAATGGGAGAAAATTTTCACAACCTACTCATCAAACAAAGGGCTAATATCCAAAATCTACAGTGAACTCCAACAAATTTACAAGAAAAAAACAAACAACTCCATCAAAAAGTGGGTGAAGGACATGAACAGACACTTCTCAAAAGAAGACATTCATGCAGCTAAAAAACACATGAAAAAATGCTCACCATCACTGGCCATCAGAGAAATGCAAATCAAAACCACAGTGAGATACCATCTCACACCAGTTAGAATGGCATTCATTAAAAGGTCAGGAAACAACAGGTGCTGGGCAGGATGTGGAGAAATAGAACACTTTTACACTGTTGGTGGGATTTTAAACTAGTTCAACAATTATGGAAGTCAGTGTGGCAATTCCTCAGAGATCTAGGACTAGAATTACCATTTGACCCAGCCATCCCATTACTGGGTATATACCCAAAGGACTATAAATCATGCTGGTATAAAGACACATGCACACTTATGTTTATTGCATCACTATTCACAATAGCAAATACTTGGAACCAACCCAAATGTCCAACAAGGATAGACTGGATTAAGAAAATGTGGCACATATACACCATGAAATACTATGCAGCCATGAAAAGTGATGAGTTCATGTCCGTTATAGGACATGGATGAAATTGGAAATCAACATTCTCAGTAAACTATCGCAAGGACAAAAATCAAACACCGCATGTTCTCACTCATAGGTGGGAATTGAACAATGAGAACACATGGACACAGGAAGGGGAACATCACACTCTAGGGACTCTTGTGGGGTGGGAGGAGAGGGGAGGGATAGCATTAGGAGATATACCTAATGTTAAATGAGGAGTTAATGGGTTCAGCACACCAGCATGGCACATGTATACATATGTAACTAACCTGCACATTCTGCACATGTACCTTAAATCTTAAAGCATAAAAATAATAAAAAAAAACAAAAAACAAAAAGAAGTTTCTCAGAATACATCTGTCTAATTTTTATGTGAAGATACTTCCTTTTCCACTTTAAGACGCAAAGTTCTCCAAATATCCACATGCAGATCCTATTAAAAGAGTGTGTCAAAACTCCTCAATCAAAAGAAAAGTTCAAATCTGTGAGATGAATGGACACATCAGAAAGAAGTTTCTCAGAATGCTTCTGTCTAATTTTTACGTGAAGACAACTCCTTTTCCACTATAGGCCACAAAGCACTCCAAATATCCATTTGCAGATACTACAAAAAGACTGTTTCCAAACTGCTGAAACAAAAGAAATGCTCAACTCTGTGACATGAATGCACATATTACAAAGAAGTTTCTCAGAACGATTCTGTCTGGTTTTTATGTGAGAATATTTCCTTTTCCACCATAGGCCTCGAACTCCTCCAAATATCCAGTTGCAGATTCTACAAAAAGAGTGTTTCAAAACTGCTCAGTCAAATGAAAGGTTCAACTCTGTGAGATGAATGCACACATCACAAAGAGGTCTCTCAGAATGCTTCTGACTAGCTTTTACATGCAAATATTTATTTTTCCACTATAGGCTGCAGAGCTCTACAAATATCCATTTCCAGTACCACAAAACGAGTGTTTCAAAACTGCTCAATCAAAAGAAAGGTTCAACTCTGTGAGTTGAATGCACACATCACAAAGAAGCTTCTCAGAATGCTTCTGTATAGTGTTTATGTGAAGATATTTCCTGTTCCACCAAAGGCTACAAAGTGCTCCAAATATCCACTTGCAGATTCTACAAAAACAAAGTTTCAAAACTGCTCAATCAAAGGAAAGGTTCAACTCTGACAGATAAATGCTCACATCACAAAGATGTTTCTCTGAATGCTTCTGCCTAGTTTTATGTGAAGATAACTCCTGCTCCACGATAGGCTGCAAAGCGCTCCAAACACCCACTTACAGATTCTACAAAAAGAGTGTTTCCAAACTGCTCAATCAAAAGAAAGGTTCAACTCTGTCAGATGAATGGGCACATCACAAAGAAGTTTCTCAGAATGCTTCTGTCTAGTTTTTATGTGAAGATATTTCCTTTTCCAACATAGGCCTCAAAGTGCTGCAAATACCCACTTGCAGATGCTTCAAAAAGACTGTTTCAAAACTGCTCAGTCAAATGAAAGTTTCAACTCTGTGAGATGAATGCAAACCTCACAAAGAAGTCTCTCAGAATGCTTCTGACTAGTTTTTACATGCAGATATTTATTTTTCCACTATAGGCTGCAGAGCACTACAAAAATCCATTTCCAGATAACACAAAACGAGCGTCTCAATACTGCTTAATCAAAAGAAAGGTTCAACTCTGTGAGTTGAATGCACACATCACAAAGAAGCTTCTCAGAATGCTTCTGTCTAGTTTTTATGTGAAGATATTTCCTTTTCCCCAAAGGCCACAAAGCGCTCCAAATATCCACTTGCAGATTCTACAAAAACAGTGTTTCAAAACTGCTCAATCAAAGGAAAGGTTCAATTCTGAGAGATAAATGTTCACATCACAAAGATGTTCCTCTGAATGCTTCTGCCTAGTTTTTATGTTAAGATTTCTCGTTTTCCATGATGGGCCGCAGAGTGCTCCAAACACCCACTTGCAAATTCTACAAAAAGAGTGTTACCAAACTGCTCAGTCAAAAGAAAGTTTCAACTCTGTGAGTTGAATATACACATCACAAAGTTTATCAGAATACTTCTTAGTAGTTTTTATGTGAAGATATTTCCTTTTCCACAATAGGCCTTGAAGCTCTCCAAATATCCACTTGCAGATTCTACAAAAACAGTGTTTCCAAACTGCTCAATCAAATGAAAGTTTCGACTGTGTGAGATGAATGCACACATCACAAAGAAGATTCTCAGAATGCTTCTGTGCAGTTTTTATGTGAAGATATTTCCTTTTCCACAACAGGCATCAAAGCGCTCCAAATATTCACTTGCAGATTCTACGAAAAGGGTGTTTCAAAACTCCTAAATCAAAATAAAGGTGCAACTCTGTGTGATGAATGCACACATCACAAAGAAGTTTCTCAGAATGCTTCTGCGTAGTTCTTATGTGATGATATTTCCTTTTCCACCATAGGTCGCAAAGGGCTCCAAATATCCCCCTGCTGATTTTCCATAAAGAGTATTTCAAAACAGCTCAATCAAAAGAAAGTTTCAAGTCTGTGAGATGAATGCACACATCACAAAGAAGTTTCTCAGAATGCTTCTGTGCAGTTTTTGTAAAGATATTTACTTATCCAAAAGAGGCCTCAAAGCGCTTCAAATATCCACTTGCTGATTCTATAAAAAGGGTGTTTCAAAACTGCTCAATCAAAAGAAAAGTTCAACTCTGTGAGATGAATGCACACATCACAAAGAAGTTTCTGAGAATGTTTCTGTGTAGTTTTTATGTGAATATATTTTCTTTTGCACAATAGGCCTCAAAGCGCTTCAAATATCCACTTGCAGATTCTATAAAAAGGGTGTTTGCAAACTGCTCTATCAAAAGAAACGTTCAGCACTGTGAGGTGAATGTGCACATTACAAAGACGTTTCTCAGAATGCTTCTGTGTAGTTTTTATTTAGATAGGTTCAACACACTGAGTTGAAGGCACGTATCCCAAAGAAGGTTTTCAGAATGCTTCTGTGCAGTTTTTATGTGAAGATATTTCCTTTTCCACTATAGGCATCAAAGCGTTCCGAAGATCCACTTGCAGATTACACAAAAAGAGTGTTTCCAAACTGCTCAATGAAAAGAAAATTTCAACTCTGTGAGATGAATGGACACATCACAAAAAAGTTTGTCAGAATGCTTCTGTGTAGTTTTCATGTGAAGCTATTTTCTTTTCCACCATAGGCCTCATCATGCTCCAAATATCCACTTGCAGATTCTAAAAAAAGAGTGTTTCAAAACTGCTCCATCAAAAGAAATGTTCAACTCTGTGAGATGAATGCACACATCACAAAGAAGTTTCTCAGAATGCGTCCATGTAGTTTTTATGTGAATATATTTCCTTTTCCACCATAGTCCAAAAAGGGCTCAAAATATTCACTTTCAGTTTCTACAAAAAGAGAGAATTAAAATTGCTGTTTCAAAAGATAAGTCCATCTCTTTGAGATGAATACATAAATCACAATATAGTTTCTCAGAATGCTTTGGCATAGTTTTTATGTGAAGATATTTCCTTTTCCACCATAGGTCTCAAAGTTCTCCAAATATCCACTTGCAGATACTACAAAAAGAGTGTTTCAAAACTGCTCAATCAAAGGAAAAGTGCAACTCAGTGAAATGAATGCACACATCAAAAAGAAGTTTCTCTCAATGCTTCAGTGTAGATTTATGTGTAGATATTTCCTTTTCCATAATAGGCCTCAAAGGGCTCCAAATATCCACATGCAGATGCTACAAAAAGAGTGTTTCAAAACTGCTCAAACTGTTCATCAAAGAAAGGTTAAACTCTGTGTGATGAACGCACACATCACAAAGAAGTTTCTCAGAATTCTTCAGTGTAATTTTTATGTGAAGATATTTCCTTTTCCACGATAGGCCTGAAAGAGCTCCAAATATCCACTTGCAGATTAATAAAGTGTGTTTCCAAACTACTCAATCAAAAGAAAGATTCAAGCCTGTGAAATGAATGCACACATAACAAAGAAATTTCTCAGAATGCTTCTCTGTAGTTTTTATGTGGAGATATTTCCTTTTCCGACATAGGCCACTAAGGGCTCCAAATACCCACTTGCAGATACTACAAAAAGAGAATTTCAAAACTACTCATACAAAAGATAGGTTCAACTCTGTGAGTTGAATGCTCCCATCACAAAGAAGTTCTTCAGAGTGCTTCTGTGTAGTTTTTATGTGAAGATATTTCCTTTTCCACAATAGGTCTCAAAGTACTCCAAATATCCACTTGCAGATTCTGCAAAAAGAGTGTTTCAAAACTGCCCAATCAAAAGAAAGTTTCAACTGTGTGAGATGAATGCACATATCACAAGGAAGTTTCTCAGAATGTTTCTGTGTAATTTTTATATGAAGATATTTCCTTTTCCACAACACGCTTCAAAGCGCTCCAAATATCCACATGTAGATTCTACAAAAAGAGTGTTTCAAAACTGCTCAATCAAAAGAAAGGTTAAGCTTTGTGAGATGAAGGCACACAACACGAAGAAGTTTCTAAGAATGCTTCTGTGTAGTTTTTATTTGAAGATATTTCCTTTTCCACCACAGGCCTAAAAGAGCCACAAATATCCACTTGCATATCCTACAAAAAGACTGTTTCCAAACTGCTCAATCAAAAGAAACGTTAAAATCTATGAGATGAATGCACACATGGCAAAGAAGTTGGTCAGAATGATTCTGTGTAGTTTTAAGTTGAAGATATTTCCTTTTCCACAAAAGGCCTCAAAGGCCTCAAAATATACACCTGCAGATTCTACAAACAGATTTTCTCTAACTGCTCAATCAAGTTAAAGGCTAAACTCTGTGAGATGAATGAACACATAACAAGGAAATTTCTCAGAATGCTTTGTGTAGTTTTTATGTGAAGATATTTCCTTTTCATGCACAGGCCACAAAGCTCTCCAAATATCCAATTGCAGATTCTATAAAAAGAGAGTTTCAAAACTGCTCATTCAAAAGATAGGTTCAACACTCTGAGTTCAATGCTCACATCACAAACAAGTTTATCAGAGTGCTTCTGTGTAGTTTTAATGTGAAGAGATTTCCTTTTCCACCATAGGCCTCAAAGCACTCCAAATATCCACTTGCAGATTCTACAAAAACAGTGTTTACAAACTACTCAGTCAAAAGAAAGTTTCAACACTGTGAGATGAATGCACACATCACAAAGAAGTTTCTCAGAATGCTTCTATGTAGTTTTTATATGACGGTATTTCCTTTTCCACAATAGGCCTGAAAGTAATCCAAATATCCAATTCCAGATTCTACAAAAAGAGTTTTTCTGCTCAGTCAAAAGAAAGGCTCAACTGTGAGAGATGAATGCACACATCAAAAAGAAGTTTTTCAGAATGCTTCTGCGTAATTTTTATGTGAAGATAATTCCTTTTCCACCATAGGCCTCAAAGGGCTCCCAATTTCCACCTGCAGATTCTACAAAAAGAGAGATTCAAAACTGCTGAATCAACAGATATGTTCAACTCTGTGAGTTGAATGCAGACATGACAAAGAAGTTTTTCCGAATGCTTCTTTGTAGTTTTTATGTGAAGATATTTCCTTTTCCGCTATAGTCCTCAAAGTGCTCCAAATATCCAATTGCAGATTCTAAAAAAAGGGTGTTTCAGAACTGTTCAATGAAATCAAATGTTCAACACTGTGAGATGAATGTGCACATCACAAAGAAGTTTCTCAGAATGCTTCTGTCTAGTTTTTATGTGAAGATATTTCCTTTTACACCATAGGCCTCAAAGCCCTCCCAATATCCACTTGCCGATTCTACAAAAAGAGTGTTTCGAAACTGCTGAATCAATAGAAAGTTTCAACTCTGTGAGATGAATGCACACATCGCAAGGAAGTTTCTCAGAATGCCTCTGTATAGTTTTTATGTGAAGATATTTCCTTTTCCACAATAGGCCTCAAAGAGCTTCAAATATCCACTTGCAGATTCTATAAAAAGAGTGTTTCAAAACTGCTCAATCAAAAGAAAGGTTCACCTCCATGAGATGATTGCACACATCACAAAGAAGCTTCTCAGAATGCTTCTGTGTAGTTTTTATGTGAAGATATTTCCTTTTGCAAAACAGGCTGCAAAGAGCTCCTAATATCCACTTGCAGATTCTACAAAAAGGGAGATTCAAAACTGCTCAATCAAAAGATAGGTTCAACTCTGTGAGTTGAATGCATGCATCACATAGAAGTTTCTCAGAATGCTTCTGTGTAGTTTTATGTGAACATATTTCCCTTTCCACAGTAGGCCTCACAGGGCTTCAAATATCCACTTCCAAATTCTGCCAAAAGAGTGTTTAATAACTGCTCAATCAAAAGAAAGTTTCAACTATGTGAGATGAATTCACACATCAGAAAGTAGTTTCTTAGAATGCTTCTGTGTTTTGATGTGAAGATATTTCCTTTTCAAAAATAGGTTGCAAAGGGCTCCAAATATCCACTTGCAGATACTACAAACAGAGAGTTTCAAAACCGCTGTATCAAAAGAAAGGTTCAACTCTGTGAGTTGAATGCACACATCACAAAGAAGTTTCTCAGAATGCTTCTTTGTAGTTTTTATATGAAGATATTTCCTTTTCCACCGTAGGCCTCAAAGCGCTTCAAATATCCACTTGCAGATCCTACAAAAAGAATGTTTCAAAATTGCTCAATCAAAAGAAAGTTTCAACTCGGTGAGATGAGTGCACGCATCACAAAGATGTCTCTCAGAATGCTTCTGTGTAGTTTTTATGTGAAGATATTCCCTTTTCCACAATAGGCCTCAAAGCGCTTCAAATATCTACTTGCAGATCCTTCCAAAAGAGTATTTCCAAACTGCTCAATCAAAGGAAAGGTTCAATTCTATGAGATGAATGCACATATCACAAAGAAGTTTCTCAGAATGCTTCTATATACTTTTTATTCGAAGATATTTCCTATTCCACAGTAGTCCTGTAAGCTCTCCAAATATCCACTTGCAGATTGCACAAAAAGAGTGTTTCAAGACTGCTCAATCAAAAGAGAGGTTCAACTCTTTCAGGTGAATGCACACAACACAAAGAAGTTTCTGAGAATCCTTCTGTGGACTTTTTATTTGAAGATATATCCTTTTCCACCACACGCCACAAAGGGCTGAAAATATGCACTTGCAGATTCTACAAAAAGAGAGTTTCAAAACTGGTCTATCAAAAGATAGGTTCAGGTGTGTGGGTGGAATGGACACATCCAAAGAACTTTCTCAGAATGCTTCTGTGTAGTTTTTTTGTGAAGATATTTCCTTTTCAACAATAGGCCTCAAAGCGCCCCAAGTATCCAGTTGCAGATTCTACAAAAAGATAGATTAAGAAGTACTCAATCCAAACATAGGTTCAATTCTGTAAGATGAATGCACACATCGCAAAGAAGTTTCTCAGAATGCTTCTGTATATTGTTTATGTGAAGATATTTCCTTTTCCACAGTAGGCCTCAAAGTGCTCCAAATATCCACTTGCAGATGCTACAAAAAGAGTGTTTCAAAACTGCTCAATCGAAACGAAGGTTCAACAGTGTGAGATGAATGCACATCAAAAAGAAGTTTCTCAGAATGCTTCTGTGTAGTTTTATGTGAATATATTTCCCTTTCCACAATAAGCCTCACAGGGCTTCAAATATCCACTTCCAGATTCGATAAAAAGAGTGGTTCACAACTGCTCAATCAAAAGAAAGTTTCAATTCTGTGAGATGAATTCACACATCAGAAAGTAGTTTCTCAAAATGCTTCTGTGTAATTTTTATGTGAAGATATTTCCTTTTCCACCATAGGCTGCAAAGGGCTCCAAATATCCACTTGCCTATACTATAAAAAGAGAGTTTCAAAAATTCTCTATCAAAACAAAGGTTCAACACAGTGAGTTGAATGCACACATCACAAAGTAGTTTCTCAGAATTCTTCTTTGTAGTTTTTATGTGAAGATATTTCCTTTTCCACCATTGGCTTCAAAGTGCTCCAAATATCCACTTGCAGATGCTACAAAAAGAGTGTTTGAAAATAGATCAATTGAAAGAAAAGTTCAACTCTGTGAGATGAATGCACACATCAAAAAGAAGTTTCTCAGAATGCTTCTGTGTAGTTTTTATGTGAAGATATTTCCTTTTCCACAATAGGCCTCAAAGCACTTCAAATACCTACTAGCAGATTCTTCAAAAAGAGTCTTTCTAAACTGCTGCATCAAAAGAAAGTTTCAGATTTTTGAGATGAATGCACACATCACACAGAAGTTTCTCAGAATGCTTTCGTGTAGTTTTTATTTGAAGATATTTCCTTTTCAAAAATAGGCAGCAAAGGGATCAAAATATCCACTTGCAGATTCTACAAAAAGAGAAATTCAAAACCGTGCCATCAAAGGATAGGTTCAACTCTGTGAGTCAAATTGACACATCACAAAGTAGTGTCTCAGAATACTTCTGTTTAGTTTTTATGTGAAGATATTCCCTTTTCCAACATAGACCTCAAAGTGCTCTAAATATCCAATTACAGATTCTACAAAAAGAGTGTTTCCAAACTGCTCAATGAAAAGAAAGTTTCAACTCTGTGAGATGAATGCACATATCACAAAGAAGTTTTTCAGAATGCTTCTATATACTTTTTATGCAAAGATATTTCTTATTCCACAGTTGTCCTCTAAGCTCTCCAAATATCCACTTGCAGACTCTACAAAAAGAGTGTTTCAAGACTGCTCAATCAAAAGAAAGGTTCAACTCTATTAGGTGAATGCACACAACACAAAGATGTTTCTGAGAATCCTTCTGTGGACTTTGTATGTGAAGATATTTCCTTTTCCACCATATGCCGCAAAGGGATGAAAATATGCACTTGCAGATTCTACAAAAAGAGAGTTTCAAAACTGGTCTATCAAAAGATAGGTTCAGGTGTGTGGGTGGAATGGACACATCACAAAGAACTTTCTCAGAATGCTTCTGTGTAGTTTTTTTCTGAAGATATTTCCTTTTCAACAATAGGCCTCAAAGCGCCCTAAGTATCCACTTGCAGATTCTACAAAAAGATAGATTAAAAAGGGCTCAATCAAAAGATAGATTCAATTCTGTAAGATGAATGCACACATCACAAAGAAGTTTCTCAGAATGCTTCTGTATGTTGTTTATGTGAAGGTATTTCCTGTTCTGCAGTAGGCCTCAAAGTGCTCCAAATATCCACTTGCAGATTCTACAAAAAGAGTGTTTCAAAACTGCTCAGTCAAAAGAAAAATTCAATTCTGTGAGATGAATGCACACGTCACAAAGAAGTTTCTCAGAATGCTTCTGTGTAGTTTTTATGTGAAGATATTCCCTTTTCCACCATAGGCCACAAAGGGCTCCAAATATACACTTGCAGATTCTACACAGTTTCAAAACTGCTCTATAGAAAGATAGGTTCAGTTCTGTGAGTTCAATGTACATATAACAAAGAAGTTTCTAAGAGTGCTTCTGTGTAGTTTTTATGTGAAGATATTTCTTTTTCTGCTATAGGGCTCAAAGCACTCCAAATATCCACTTGCAGATTCTACAGAAAGAGTGTTTCCAAACTGCTCAATAAAAAGAAATGTTCAAATATGTGAGATGAATGCACACATCACAAAGAAGTTTCTCAGAATGCTTCTGTGTGGTTTTTATCTGAAGATATTTCCTTTTCCACAAATGGCCTTAAAGCGTTCCAAATATCCCCTTGCAGATTCTACAAAAAGAGTGTTTCCAAACTGCTCAATAAAATGAGAGGCTTAACTCTGTGAGATGAATCTACACATCACAAAGCTGTTTCTCAGAATGCTTCTTAGTAGTTTTTATTTGAAGATATTTCCTTTTCCATCCTAGTCCACAAAGGGCTCCAAGTATCCACTTGAAGATGCTACAAAAAGAGAGTTTTGAAACTGCTCAATCAAAAGATAGGTTCAAATCTGTGAGTTGAATGCAGACATCACAAAGAAGTTTCTCGGTATTCTTCTGTGTAGTTTTTATGCGAAGATATTTCTTTTTCCACGATAGTCATCAAATTGCTTCGAATATCCACTTGCTGATTCCAGAAAAAGAGTGTTTCAAAAGTGCATAATCAAAAGAGAGTTTGAACTCTGTGAGATGAATGCACAGATCACAAACAAGTTTCTCAGAATGCTTCTGTGTACTTTTTATGTGAAGATATTACCTTCTCCACCATAGGCCTCAAAGTGCTCCAAATATCTACTTGCAGATTCTTCAAAAAGAGTGTTTCCAAACTGCTGAATGAAAAGAAAGGTTCAACTCTGTGAGATGAATGCACACATAACAAAGAAGATTCTCAGAATGCTTCTGTGTAGTTTTTATGTGAAGTTATTTCCTTTTCCAGCATAGGCCTCAAAACACTCCAAATATCCACTTGCAGATTCTACAAAAAGAGTGTTTCCAAACTGCTCAATCAAAATGAAGGTTCTACTCTGTGAGAGGAACGCACCCATTGCAAAGAAGTTTCTCAGAATGCTTCTGTGTAGTTTTTATGTGAAGATATTTCCTTTTCCATCATAGGCCAAAAAGGGCTCCATGTATCCACTTGAAGGTGCTATAAAAAGATAGTTTCGAAACTGCTCCATCAAAAGATATGTTCAAATTTCTGTGTTGAATGCACACATCACAAAGAAGTATCTTGGAATTCTTCTGTGTAGGTTTTATGTGAAGATATTTCCTTTCCCACCATTGGCGTCAAAATGCTCCGAATATCCACTTGCAGATTCCACAAAAAGAGGGTTTCAAAAGTGCACAATCGAAAGAGAGGTTCAACTCTGTGAGATGAATGCACACATCACAAACAAGTTTCTCAGAATGCTTCTGTGTACTTTTTATGTGAAGATATTTCCTTTTCCAAAATAGGCCTCAAAGCGCTCCAAATATCCATCTGCAGGTTCTACAAAAAGTCTGTTTCAAAACTGCTCAATCAAAAGACAGTTTCAACTCTCTGAGGTGAATGCACACATCACAAAGAAGATTCTCAGAATGCTTCTGTGTAGTTTTTATGTGAAAATTTTTCCTTTTCCATCATAGGCCACAAAGCGCTCCAAATATCCACTTGCAGATTCTACAAAAAGAGTGTTTCAAAACTGCTCAATCAAAGGAGAGGTTGAACTCTGTGAGATGAATGCACACATCACAAAGAAGTTTCTCAGAATGCTTCTGTGTAGTTTTTCTATGAAGATATTCCTTTTTCCACCATAGGCTTCAAAGGGCTCCAAATATCCACTTGAAGATTTTACAAAAAGAGAGTTTCAAAACTGCTCTATCAAAAGGTAGGTTCAACTCTGTGAATTGAATGCATACATCACAAAGTAGTTCCTCAGAATGCTTCTGGGTAGTTTCTATGTGAAGATATTTCCTTTTCCACCATAGGCCTCAAAGAGCTCCATATATCCACTTGCAGATTCTACAAAAAGAGTGTTTCCAGACTGCTCAATAAAATGAAAGGCTCAACTCTGTGAGATGAATTCACACATCACAAAGAAATTTGTCAGAATGTTTCTGTGTCGTTTTTATGTGAAGATATTTCCTTTTTCATCGTAGGCCACAAATGGCTCCATGTGTCCATTTGAAGATGCTACAAAAAGAGAGTTTTGAAACTGCTGGATCAAAAGATAAGTTCAAATTTGTGAGTTGGATGCACACATCACAATGAAGTATCTCGGAATTCTTCTGTGCAGGTTTTTTGTGACGCTATATCCTTTTCCACCATAGGCGTCAAATTGCTCCGAATATCCACTTGCAGATTCCACAAAAAGAGGGTTTCAAAAGTGCACAATCAAAACAGAGGTTCAACTCTGTGAGATGAATGCACACATCACAAACAAGTTTCTCAGAATACTTCTGTGTACTTTTTATGTGAAGATATTTCCTTTTCCAAAACAGGACTCAAAGTGCTCCAAATATCCACCTGCAGGTTCTACAAAAAGTCTGTTTCAAACCTGCTCAACCAAAGGCGGTTCAACTCTCTGAGATGAATGCACACATCACAAAGAAGTTTCTCAGAATGCTTCTGTGTAGTTTTTGTGTGAAGATATTTCCTTTTCCACTCTGGGCATCAAAGGGCTTCAAATATCCACTTGCAGATCCTATCAAAAGAGTGTTTCAAAACTGCTCAATCAAAAGAAAGTTTAAACTCTGTGAGATGAATGCACACATCACAAAGGAGTTTCTCAGAGTGCTTCTGTTTATTTTTTATGTGAAGATATTTCCTTTTCCACAATAGACCTTGATGCGATCTGAATATCCACTTTCAAATTCTACAAGAAGGGTGTTTCAAAACTGCTCAATCAAATAAAAGTTTCAGCTCTATGAGATGAATGCACACATCACAAGGAAGTTCCTCAGAATGCTTCTGTGTAGTTTTTTTGTGAAGATATTTCCTTTTCAAAAATAGACCACAAAGGGCTCAAAATATCCGGTTCTATATTCTGCAGAAACAGAAATACAAAACTGTTCAATCAAACGACAGGTTCAACTCTGTGAGTTGAGTGCACACATCACACAGAAGTTTCTCAGAGTGCTTCTGTGTAGTTTTCATGTGAAGATATTTCCTCTTCCACCATAGGCTTCAAAGCGCTCCAAATATACACTTGCAGATTCTACAAAAAGAGTGTTTCCAAACTGCTCAATCAAGAGAAAGGTTCAACTCTGTGAGATGAGTGCACACATCACAAAGAAGTTGTCAGAATGCTTCTGTGTAGTTTTTATGTGAAGATATTTCCTTTTCCACAATAGGCCCCAAAGTGCTGTAAATATCCCCTTGCAGATTCTACAAAAAGAGTGTTACAAAACTGCTCAATAAAATGAAAGACTCAACTCTGTGAGATGAATTCACACATCACAAAGAAGTTTCTCAGAATGCTTCTGTGTAGTTTTTATGTGAAGATATTTCCTTTTCCATCATAGGCCACAAAGGGCTCCATGTATCCACTTGAAGATGCTACAAAAATAGAGTTTTGAAACTGCTTGATCAAAAGATAGGTTCAAATTTGCGAGTTGAATGCACACATCACAATGAAGTATCTCGGAATTCTTCTGTGTAGTTTTTTTGTGAAGATATTTCCTTTTCCATCATAGGCTTCGAAGCGCTCCAAATATCCACTTGCAGATTCCACAAAAAGAGGGTTTCAAAAGTGCACAATCAAAAGAGAGGTTCAATTCCGTGAGATGAATGCACACATCACAAACAAGTTTCTTAGAATGTTTCTGCATACTTTTTATGTGAAGATATTTCCTTCTCCACCATAGGCCTCAAAGGGCTCCAATTATCCACTTGCAGATTCTTCAAAAACTGTGATGTGAATGCACACATCACAAAGAAGATTCTGAGAAAGTTTCTGTGTAGTTTTTATGTGAAGATATTTCCTTTTCCACCATAGGCTTCAAAGCACTCCAAATATCCACTTGCAGATTCTACAAAAAGAGAGTTTCAAAACTTCTCTATCAAAGTAGAGACTCAACGCAGTGAGTTGAATGCACACATTACACAGAAGTTTCTCAGAATGCTTCTGTGCAGTTTTTATGTGAATATATTTCCTTTTCCACCAGAGGCCTGAAAGTGCTTCAAATATCTAATTTGCAGTTTCTACAAAAAGAGTTTTTCAAAACTGCTCAATCAAAAGAAAGTTTCAACTCTTTCAGATGAATGCACAGATCACAAAGAAGTTTCTCAGAATGCTTCTGTGTAGTTTTTATGTGAAGATATTTCCTTTTCCACCATAGGCCTCAAAGCGCTCCAAATATCTATTTGCAGATTCTACAAAAAGAGTGTTTCCAAACTGCTCAATCCAAAGAAAACTCCAACTCTCTGAGATGAATGCACACATCACAAAGAAGTTTCTGAGAACACTTCTGCGTAATTTTAATGTGAAGATATTCCCTTTCCACAATAGGCCTCAAAGTGCTTCAAATATCCACTTGCAGATTTTATAAAGTGTGTTTCAAAACTGCTCAAGCAAAAGAAGGGTTCAACACTATGAGATGAATGCACACATCACAAAGAAGTTTCTGAGAAAGCTGCTGTATAGTTTTTTTGTGAAGATATTTCCTTTTCCAAAATAGGCCACAAGTGGCTCCAAATGTCCACTTGCAGATTCTACCAAAAGAGAGATGCAAAACTGTTCTATCAAAAGGACAGTTCAACTCTCCGAGTTGAGTGCACACATCACAAAGTAGTTTCTGGGAATGCTTCTATCTCGTTTTATATGAAGATATTCCCGTTTCCACTGTAGGCCACATAGTGCTCAAAATATCCACTTGCAGATTCTATAAAAAGAGTGTTTCAAAACTGCACTATCAAAAGGAGCGTTCAACTCTGTGAGTTGAATGCAAACATCACAAAGAAGTTTCTGAGAATACTTCTTTCTAGTTTCTATGTGAAAATATTTGTGTTCCCACTGATGCCTTCCTTGCGATCAAATATCCACCTGCAGATATTACAAAATGAGTGTTTCAAAACTGCTCTATCAAAAGGATGGTTCAACTCTCTGAGTTGAATGCACACATCACAAAGAAGTTTCTGAGAATGCTTCTGTCTAGTTTTTATGTGAAGATATTCCCGTTTCCACCGTAGGCCTCAAAGAGCTTAAATTATCCACTTGTAGATTGTACAAAAAGAGTGTTTCAAAACTGCTCTATCAAAAGAAAGTTCAACACTGTGAGTTGAATGAACACATCCCAAAGAAGTTTCTGAGAATGCCTCTGTCTAATTTTTATGTGAAGATATTCTCGTTTCCACCGAAGGCCTCAAAGCGGTCCAAATATCCACTTGCAGATTCTACAAAAAGAGTGTTTCAAAACTGCTCAATCAAAAGGATTGTTCAACTCTGTGAGTTAAACCCAAACATCACAACATAGTTTCTGAGAATGCTTCTGTGTAGTTTTTATATGAATATATTTCCTTTTGTACCATAGGCCTCAAAGCACTCCAAATATCCAGTTGCAGATTCTACAAAAAGTGTGTTTCAAAACTGCTCTAAAAAAATGGAGGTTAAACTCTCTGAATTGAATGCACACATCACAAAGAAGTTTCTGATAATGCTTCTGTCTAGTTTTTATGTGAAGATATACCGGTTTCCACTGTAGGCCTAAAAGCACTCCAAATATCCACTTGCAGATTCTACAAAAAGAGGCATTCAAAACTGATCTATCAAAAGGAAGGTTCAACTCTCTGAGTTGAAAGCACACATCACAAGAAGTTACTGAGAATGCTTCTATCTAGTTTCTATGGGACGATATTTCCTTTTCCAGCACACGCCACAAAGCGCTCCAAATGTCCACTTGCATATTCTACAAAAAGAGTGTTTCAAGACTGCTCTATCAAAAGGAAGGTTCAACTCCATGAGTTGAATTCACACGTCACAAAGAAGTTTCAGAGAATGCTTCTGTCTAGTTTTTATGTGAAGATATTCCCATTTCCACCATAGGCCTCAAAGCGCTCCAAATATCCAGTTGAACCTTCTACAAAAAGAGTGTTTCAAAACTGCTCTATCAAAAGCAATGCTCAAGTCTGTGAGTTGAATGCACACATCACAAAGAAGTTTCTGAGAATGCTTCTGTCTAGTTTTTATGTGAAGATATTTCCCTTTCCACCACAGGCCTCAAAGCGCTGCAAACGTCCACTTGCAGATTCTACAAAAAGAGTGTTTCAAAACTGCTCTATCAAAAGAAAGGTTCTACTCTTTGAGTTGAATGCACACGTCACAATGAAGTTTCTGAGAATGCTTCTGTCTAATTTTTAGGTGAGGATTTTCCCATTTCCAACAAAGGCCTCAAAGCGCTCCAAATGTCCACTTGCAGATTCTATAAAAAGAGTGTTTCAAAAGTGCTTTATGAAAAGGAATATTCAACTCTGTGAGTTGAATGCCCACATCAAAATGAAGTTTCTGAGAATGCTTCTGTCTAGTTTTTAAGTGGAGATATTCGTCTTTCCACCGAAGGCCTAAAAGCGCTCCGTATATCCATCTACAGATTCTACAAAGAGAGTGTTTCAAAACTGCTCTATCAAAAGAAAGGTTCAACTCTGGGATTTGAATGCACACATCACAAAGTAGTTTCTGAGAATGCTTCTGTGTAGTTTTTATATAAAGGTATTTCCTTTTCTACCATAGGCATCAAAGCACTCCATATATCCACTTGCAGATTCTACAACAAGATTTTTCAAAGCTGCTCTGCCAAAAGGAAGGTTTAACTCCCTGAGTTGAATGCAAGCATCACAAATTACTTTCTGAAAATGCTTCTGTCTAGTTTTTCTGTGAAGATATTCCCGTTTCCACGTAGGCCTCAAAATCTCCAAATATATACTTGCAGATTCTACAAAAAGCCTCTGTCAAAACTGCTGTATCAAAAGGAAGGTTCAACTCTCCCAGGTGAATGGACAAATCACAAATAAGTTTCTGAGAATGCTTCTGTCTAGTTTTCTTGTGAAGATATTACTGTTTCCACCGTAGGCCTCAAATCGCTCCAAATATCAAACTGCAGATTCCACAAAACGAGTGTCTCAAAACTGCACTATGAAAACGAAGGTTCAAATCTGTGAGTTGAATGCACACATCCGAAAGAAGTTTCTGAGAATGCTTCCTTCTAGTTTTTATGTGAAGATATTCCCTATTACCCCTAAGGCCTAAAAGCGGTCCAAATATCCTCTTGCAGATTCTACAAAAAGAGTGTTTCAAAACTGCTCTATGAAAAGGAATGTTCAGCTCTGTGAGTTCAATGCAAACATCACAAAGAAGTTTCTGAGAATGCTTCTGTCTAGTTTTTGTTTGCAGACATTTCCTTTTCCACCATAGACCTCAAACTGCTCCAAATATTCACTTGCAGATTCTAAAATAGAGTGTTTCAAAACTGCTCTAAGAAAAGGAAATTTCAACTCTGTGAGTTGAATGCACACATCACAAAGAAGATACTGAGATTGCCTCTGTCCAGTTTACATGTGAAGATATACCCCTTTCCACCAAAGGCCTAAAAGCACTCCAAATATCCACTTGCAGATTCTACAAAAAGAGTGTTTCAAAACTGATCTATCAAAAGGAAGTGTTATCTTCATGAGGTCAATGCACATCACAATATAGTTTCTGATAATGCTTCTGTATAATTTTTATATGAAGATATGTCCTTTTCCAACATAGGCCTCAAAGGGCTCAAAATATCCACTTGCAGATTCTATGAAAAGAGTGATTCAAAACTGCTCTATGAAAAGGAAGGTTGAACTCCGTGAGTTGAATGCACCCATCACAAAGAAGGTTCTCAGAATGAAGATATTACGTGAAGATATTCTTGTTTCCACCGAAGGCCTCAAAGTGCTCCAAATATCCACTTGCCGATCCTACAAAAAGAGTGTTTCAAAACTGCTCTATCAAAAGAAAAGTTCAACTCTTTTAGTTGAATGCACACTTCACAAAGAAGTTTCTGAGAATGCTTCTGTCTACTCTTTAGGTGAAGAAACTTCCTTTTCCATCATAGACCTTAAAGCGCTCAAATATCCACTTGCAGATTCTTCAAAAAGAGTGTTTCAAAACTGCTGTATGAAAAGGGAGGTCCAATTCTGTGAGTTGAATGCACACATCACAAAGAAGTTTCTAGGATACTTCTGTCAAGATTTTATGTGAAGATATTCCCGTTTCCAACATAGGCCTCAAAGAGCTCCAAATATCCACTTGCAGATTCTACAAAAATAGTGTTTCAAAACTGCTCTATCAAAAGAAAGGTTCACCTCTGTTTGTTGAACGAACACATAACAAAGAAATTTCTGAGAATCCATCTGTCTACTTTTTATGTGAAGACACTTCCTTTTCCACCATAGACCTCAAAGCGCTCCAAATATCCAATTCCAGATTCTACAAAAAGAGTGTTTCAAAACTACTCTATCAAAACGAAGGTTAAACTCTGTGAGTTGAATGCACACATCACAAAGAAGTTTCTGAGAATGCTTCGGTCTGATTTTTATGTGAAGTTATTTCCCTTTTCACCACAGGCATCAAAGTGCTCAAAATGTCCAATTGCAGATTCTACAAAAAGAGTTTTTCAAAACTTGTCTATGAAAAGAAAGGTTCAACTCTGTAGGTTGGATGCACACATCACAAAGTAGTTTCTGAGAATGCTTCTGTCTAGTTTTTAATATGAAGACATTTCCTTTTCTACCTTAGGCCTCAAAGCGCTCCAAATATCCACTTGCAGATTCCACAAAAAGAGTGTTTCAAAACTGATCTATGAAAAGGAAGTTTCTACTCTGTGAATTGAATGCGCACAACACAAAGAAGTTTCCGAGACTGTTTCTGTCTAGTTTTTATATGAAGATATTCCAGTTTCCAGAGAAGGCCTCAAAGAGTTCCATATATCCACTTGCAGATTCTACAAAAAGAGTGTTTCAAAACTGCTCTGTGAAAAGGAATGTTCAGCACTGTGAGTGGAATGGAAACATCACAAAGAAGTTTCTGAGAATGCTGCTGTCTAGTTTTTATGTGAAAATATTCCCGTTTCCACCAAAGGCCTCAAAGCGGTCCAAATATCCACTTACAGATTCTACGAAGAGTGTTTCAAAACTGCTCTATGAAAAGGTATGTTCAACTCTGTGAGTAGAATGCAAACATCACAAAGAGATTTCTGAGAATGCTTCTGTCTGGTTTTTATGTGAAGATATTCCCGTTTCCAGTGAAGGCCTCAAAGCCGTCCAAATATCCACCTGCAGATACTATGAAAAGAGTGTTTCAAAACTGCTCTATGAAAAGGTATGTTCAACTCTGTGAGTAGAATGCAAACATCACAAAGAGATTTCTGAGAATGCTTCTGTCTAGTTTTTATGTGAAGATATTCCCGTTTCCAATGAAGGCCTCAAAGCCATCCAAATATCCACCTGCAGATACTATGAAAAGAGTGTTTCAAAACTGCTCTATGAAAAGGTATGTTCAACTCTGTGAGTTGAATGCAAACATCACAGAGAAGTTTCTGAGAATGCTTCTGTCTAGTTTTTTTTTTTTTTTGGAATGATAAACATTTTAATTTGAAAAGCAGGCATCTCTGCTGTTAAGCTTTCTTTTGATGGGTGGGGAGTGGGGGGCGTTGGAGTTTATTTATTTTTGTTATTATTATACTTCAAGTTTTAGTGTACATGTTCACAATGTGCAGGTTAGTTACGTATGTATACATGTGCCATGCTGGTGTGCTGCACCCACTAACTCGTCCTCTAGCATTAGGTATATCTCCCAATGCCATCCTTCTCCCCTCCCCCCACCCCACAACAGTCCCCAGAGTGTGATGTTCCACTTCCTGTGTCCATGTGATCTCATTGTTCAATTCCCACCTATGAGTGAGAATATGCGGTGTTTGGTTTCTTTTCTTGCGATAGTTTACTGAGAATGATGATTTCCAATTTCATCCATGTCCCTACAAACGACATGAACTCATCATTTTTATGGTTGCATAGTATTCCATGGTGTATGTGTGCCACATTTTCTTAATCCAGTCTATCATTGTTGGACATTTGTGTTGGTTCCAAGTCTTTGCTATTGTGAATAGTGCCACAATAAACATACATGTGCATGTTTCTTTATAGCAGCATGATTTATAGTCCTTTGGGTATATACCCAGTAATTGGATGGCTGGGTCAAATGGTATTTCTAGTCCTAGATCCCTGAGGAATCCCCACACGGAGTTCCACAATGGATGAACTAGTTTACAGTCCCACCAACAGTGTAAAAGTGTTCCTATTTCTCCACATCCTCTCCAGCACCTGTTGTTTCTTGACTTTTTAATGATTGCCATTGTAACTGGTGTGAGATGGTATCTCATTGCGGTTTTGATTTGCATTTCTCTGATGGCCAGTGAGGGTGAGCATTTTTTCATGTGTTTTTTGGCAGCATAAATGTCTTCTTTTGAGAAGTGTCAGTTCATGTCCTTTGCCCACTTTTTGATGGGGTTGTTTGTTTTTTTCTTGTAAATTTGTTTGAGTTCATTGTAGATTCTGGATATTAGCTCTTTGTCAGATGAGTAGGTTGTGAAAATTTTCTCCCATTTTGTAGTTTGCCTGTTCATTCTGATGGTAATTTCTTTTGCAGTGCAGAAGCTCTTTAGTTTAGTTAGATCCCATTTGTCAATTTTGGCTTTTATTGGCACTGCTTTTGGTGTTTTAGACATGAAGTCCTTGACCATGCCTATGTCCTGAATGGTAATGCCTAGGATTTCTTCTAGGGTTTTCATGGTTTTACATCTAATGTTTAAGTCTTTAATCCATCTTGAATTGATTTTTGTATAAGGTATAAGGAAGGGATCCAGTTTCAGCTTTCTACATAAGGCTAGCCAGTTTTCCCAGCACCATTTGTTAAATAGGGAATCCTTTCCCTATTGCTTGTTCTTCTCAGGTTTGTCAAAGATCAGATAGTTGTAGATATGTGGCGTTATTTCTGAGGGCTCTGTTCTGTTCCATTGATCTATATCTCTGTTTTGGTACCAGTACCATGCTGTTTTGGTTACTGTAGCCTTGCAGTATAGTTTGAAGTCAGGTAGTGTGATGCCTCCAGCTTTGTTCTTTAGGCCTAGGATTGTCTTGGTGATGCGGGCTATTTTTTGATTCCTATGAACTTTAAAGTAGTTTTTCCTATTCTATGAAGAAAGTGATTGGTAGCTTGATGGGGTTGGCATTGAATCTGTAAATTACCTTGGGCAGTATGGCCATTTCCACGATATTGATTCTTCCTACCCATGAGCATGGAATGTTCTTCCATTTGTTTGTATCCTATTTTATTTCCTTGAGCAGTGGTTTGTAGTTCTCCTTGAAGAGGTCTTTCACGTCCCTTGTAAGTTGGATTCCTAGGTATTTTATTCTCTTGGAAACAACTGTGAATGGGAGTTAAGTCATGATTTGGCTCTCTGTTTGTCTGTTGTTGGTGTATAAGAATGCTTGTGGTTTTTGCACATTGATTTTGTATCCTGAGACTTTGCTGAAGTTGCTTATCAGCTTAAGGAGATTTTCGGCTGAGACAATGGGGTTTTCTAGATATACAATCATGTCATCTGCAAACTGGGACAATTTGACTTCCTCTTTATCTAATTGAATACCCTTTATTTCATTCTCCTGCTTAATCGCCCTGGCCAGAACTTCCAACACTATGTTGAATAGGAGTGGTGAGAGAGGGCATCCCTCTCTTGTGCCAGTTTTCAAAGGGAATGCTTCCAGTTTTTGCCCATTCAGTATGATATTGTCTGTGGGTTTGTCATAGATAGCTCTTATTATTTTGAAATGCATCCCATCAATACCTAATTTATTGAGAGTTTTTAGCATGAAGGATTGTTGAATTTTGTCAAATGCCTTTTCTGCGTCTATTGAGATAATCATGAGTTTTTTTCTTTGGTTCTGTTTATATGCTGGATTACATTTATTGATTTGCATATATTGAACCAGCCTTGCATCCCAGGGATGATCCCAGCCCACTTGATCATGGTGGATAAGCTTTTTGATGTGCTGCTGGATTCGGTTTGCCAGTATTTTATTGAGGATTTTTGCATCAATGTTCATCAAGGATATTGGTCTAAAATTCTCTTTTTTGATTGTGTCTGCCCGGCTTTGGAATCAGAATGATGCTGGCCTCATAAAATGAGTTAGGGAGGATTCCCTCGTTTTCTATTGATTGGAATAGTTTCAGAAGGAATGGTACCAGCTCCTCCTTGTACCTTTGGTAGAATTCGGCTGTGAATCCGTCTGGTCCTGGACTCTTTTTGGTTGGTAAGCTATTGATTATTGCCACAATTTCAGATCCTGTTATTGGTCTATTCAGAGATTCAACTTCTTCCTGGTTTAGTCTTGGGAGAGTGTATGTGTCGAGGAATTTATCCATTTCATCTAGATTTTCCAGTTTATTTGCATAGAGGTGTGTGTAGTATTCTCTGATGGTAGTTTGTATTTCTGTGGAATCGGTGGTGATATCCCCTTTATCATTTTTTATTGCATCTATTTGATTCTTCTCTCTTTTTTTCTTTTTAGTCTTGCTAGTGGTGTATCAATTTTGTTGACCCTTCAAAAAACCAGCTCCTGGATCCATTAATTTTTTGAAGGGTTTTTTGTGTCTCCATTTCCTTCAGTTCTGCTCTGATTTTAGTTATTTCTTGCCTTCTGCTAGATTTTGAATGTGTTTTCTCTTGCTTTTTTAGTTCTTTTAATTGTGATGTTAGGGTGTCAATTTTGGATCTTTCCTGCTTTCTCTTGTGGGCATTTAGTGCTGTAAATTTCCCTCTACCCACTGCTTTGAATGAGTCCCAGAGATTCTGGTATGTTGTGTCTTTGTTCTCGTTGGTTTCAAGGAACATGTTTCTTTCTGCCTTCATTTCGTTATGTACCCAGTAGTCACTCAGGAGCAGGTTGCTCAGTTTCCATGTAGTTGAGTGGTTTGAGTGAGATTCTTAATCCTGAGTTCTAGTTTGATTGCACTGTGGTCTGAGAGAGAGTTTGTTATAATTTCTGTTCTTTTACATTTGCTGAGGAGAGCTTTACTTCCAAGTATGTGGTACATTTTGAAATAGGTGTGGTGTGGTGCTGAAAAAAATGTATATTCTGTTGATATGGGGTGGAAAGTTCTGTAGATGTCTATTAAGTCCGCTTGGTGCAGAGCTGAGTTCAATTCCTGGATATCCTTGTTGACTTTCTGTCTAGTTGATCTGTCTAATGTTGACAGTGGGGTGTTAAAGTCTCCCATTTTTAATGTGTGGGAGTCTAAGTCTCTTTGTAGGTCACTCAGGACTTGCTTTATGAATCTGGGTGCTCCTGTATTGGGTGCATATATATTTAGGATAATTAGCTCTTCTTGTTGAATTGATCCCTTTACCATTATGTAATGGCCTTCTTTGTCTCTTTTTATCTTTGTTGGTTTAAAGTCTGTTTTATCAGAGACTAGCATTGCAACCCCTGCCTTTTTTGTTTTCCATTTTCTTGGTAGATCTTCCTCCATCCTTTCATTTTGAGCCTATGTGTGTCTCTGCACGTGAGATGGGTTTCCTGAATGCAGCACACTGATGGGTCTTGATTCTTTATCCAATATGCCAGTCTGTCTTTTAATTGCAGCATTTAGTTCATTTACATTTAAAGTTAATATTGTTGTGTGTGAATCTGATCCTGTCATTATGATGTTAGCTAGTTATCTTGCTCGTTAATTGATGCAGTTTCTTCCTAGTCTCAATGGTCTTTACATTTTGGCATGATTTTGCAGTGGCTGGTACTGGTTGTTCCTTTCCATGTTTAGTGCTTCCTTCAGGAGCTTTTTTAGGGCAGGCCTGGTGGTGACAAAATCTCTCAGCATTTGCTTTTCTGTGAAGTATTTTATTTATCCTTCACTTAGGAAGCTTAGTTTGGCTGGATATGAAATTCTGGGTTGAAAATTCTTTTCTTTAAGAATGTTGAATATTGGCCCCCACTCTCTTCTGGCTTGTGGGGTTTCTGCCAAGAGATCCACTGTTAGTCTGATGGGCCTCCCTTTGAGGGTAACCCAACCTTTCTCTCTGGCTGCCCTTAACATTTTTTCCTTCATTTCAACTTTGCGGAATCTGACAATTATGTGTCTTGGAGTTGCTCTTCTCGAGTATCTTTGTGGTGTTCTCTGTATTTCCTGAATCTGAATGTTGGCCTGCCTTGTTAGATTGGGGAAGTTCTCCTGGATAATATCCTGCAGAGTGTTCCAACTTGGTTCCATTCTCCCCATCATTTTCAGATACACCAAACAGATGTAGATTTGGTCTTTTCACATAGTCCCGTATTTCCTGGAGGATTTGCTCATTTCTTTTTATTCTTTTTTCTCTAAACTTCCCTTCTCACTTCATTTCATTCATTTCATCTTCCATCGCTGATACCCTTTCTTCCAGTTGATTCCATTGTCTCCTGAGGCTTCTGCATTCTTCACGTAGTTCTCGGGCCTTGGTAATCAGCTCCATGAGCTCCCTTAAGCACTTCTCTGTATTGGTTATTCTAGTTATACATTCTTCTAAATTTTTTTCAAAGTTTTCAACTTCTTTGCCTTTGGTTTGAATGTCCTCCCATAGCTTGGAGTAATTTGATCGTCTGAAGGCTTCTTCTCTCAGCTTGTGAAAGTCATTCTCCATCCAGCTTTGTTCCATTGCTGGTGAGGAACTGCATTCCTTTGGAGGAGGAGAGGTGCTCTGCTTTTTAGAGTTTCCAGTTTTTCTGCTCTTTTTTTCCCCCATCTTTGTGGTTTTATCTACTTTTGATCATTGAGGATGGTGAAGTACAGATGGGTTTTTGGTGTGGATGTCCTTTCTGTTTGTTAGTTTTCCTTCTAACAGACAGGGCCCTCAGCTGCAGGTCTGTTGGCGTACCTGGTCGTGTGAGGTGTCAGTCTGCCCCTGCTGGGGGGTGCCACCCAGTTAGGAGGCTCGTGTGTCAGGGGTCAGGGACCCACTTGAGGAGGCAGTCTGCCCGTTCTCAGATTTCCAGCTGCGTGCTGGGAGAACCACTGCTCTCTTCAAAGCTGTCAGACAGGGACATTTAAGTCTGCAGAGGTTACTGCTGTCTTTTTGTTTGTCTGTGCCCTGTCCCCAGAGGTGGAGCCTACAGAGGCAGGCAGGCCTCCTTGAGCTGCGGTGGGCTCCACCCTCTTCGAGCTTCCCGGCTGCTTTGTTTACCTAAGCAAGCCTGGGCAATGGGGGGCGCCCTTCCCCCAGCCTCGCTGCCGCCTTGCAGTTTGATCTCAGACTACTGTGCTAGCAATCAGTGAGATCCGTGGGGGTAGGACCCTCCGAGCCAGGTGCGGGATACAATCTCCTGGTGCATGGTTTTTTAAGCCCGTCAGAAAAGCGCAGTATTAGGGTGGGAGTGACCCGATTTTCCAAGTGCCGTCTGTCACACATTTCTTTGACTAGGAAAGGTAACTCCCTGACCCCTTGTACTTCCCGAATGAGGCAATGCCTCGCCCTGATTCGGCTCACACAGGGTGCATGCACCCACTGACCTGCGCCCACTGTCTGGCACTCCCTAGTGAGATGAACACAGTACCTCAGATGAAAATGCACAAATAACCTGACTTCTGCATCATTCATGCTGGGAGCAGTACACTGGAGCTATTCCTATTTGGCAAACTTGGCTCCTCCCCCCAGGTGCTTCTGACAAGTATTTATGGGAAGATATTCCCATTTCCAACGAAGGCCTCAAAGCAGTCCAAATGTCAACTTGCAGATTCTACCAAAAATGTGTTTCAATACTGGGCTATAAAAAGATAAGTTCAACTTCATGAGTTCAATGAAAACATCACAAAGAAGTTTCTGAGAATGCTTTTGTCTAGTTTTTAAGTGAAGATATATCATTTCCACCATAGGCCTCAAAGCTCTCCAAATGTCCAGTTGCAGATTCCACAAAAAGAGTGTTTCAAAACGGCTCTATCAAAAGAAAGGTTCAGCTCTGTGAGTTGAATGCACACATCACAAAGACGTTTCTGAGAATGCTTCTATCTAGTTTTTATGTGAAGATATTCCCGTTTCCAATGAAGGCCTCAAAGCAGTAAAAATATCCATATGCAGATAGTACGAAAAGAGTGTTTCAAAACTGCTCTATGAAAAGGTATGTTGAACTCTGTGAGTTGAATGCAAACATAACAAAGAAGTTTCTGAGAATGCTTCTGTCTGGTTTTTATGTGAAGATATTTCCTTTTCCACCATAGGCCTCAAAGGTCTCCAAATGTCGACTTGCAGATTCTACAAAGAGAGTGTTTCAAACTGCTCTATCAAAAGAAATGTTCAACTCAGTGAGTTGAATGGACACATCACAAAGAAGTTTCTGAGAATGCTTCTGTCTACTTTTTATGTGAAGATATTCCAATTTCCAAGGAAGGCCTAAAAGCAGTCCAAATATCGAATTGCAGAGTCTATGAAAAAAGTGTTTCAAAACTGTTCCATTAAAATATGTTCAACTGTGTGAGTTGAATGCAAATATCAGAAAGCAGTTTCTGAGAATGCTTCTGTCTGGTTTTTATGTGAAGATATTCCTTGTTCACGATAGGCCTCAAAACTTTCCAAATGTCCACATGCAGATTCTACAAAAAGAGTGTTTCTAAACTGCTCTATGAAGAGAAAGGTTCAACTCTGTGAGTTGAATGCACACATCAGAAAGAAGTTTCTGAGAATGCTTCTGTCTAGTTTTTATGTGAAGATATTCCCGTTTCCAACGAAGGCCTCAAAGCAGTCAAAATAGCCACTGGCAGATTTTACGAAAAGAGTGTTTCAAAACTGCTCTATAAAAAGGTATGTTCAACTCTGTGAGTTGAATGCAAACATCCCAAAGAAGTTTCTGAGAATGCTTCGGTCCGGTTTTTATGTGAAGATATTTCCTTTTCCACCATAGGCCTGAAAGCTTTCCAAATGTTCACTTGCAGATTCTACAAAAAGAGTGTTTCAAAACGGCTGTATCAAAATAAAGGTTCCACCCTGTGAGTTGAATGCACACATCACAAATAAGTTTCTGAGAATGCTTCTGTCTAGTTTTTATGTGAAGATATTCCCGTTTCCAAAGAAGGCTTCAAAGCAGTCGAAATATCTACTTGCATATTCTACGAAAAGAGGGTTTCAAAACTGCTCTAAGAAAAGGTATGTTCAACTCTCTGAGTTGAATGCAAACACCACAAATAAGTTTCTGGGAATGCTTCTGTCTACTTTTTATGTGAAGATACTTCCTTTTCCTCCATAGGGCTCAAAGCTCTCCAAATATCCACTTGCAGATTCTACAAAATGACTGTTTCAAAACTGCTCTATCAGAAGAAAGGTTCAACACTGCGAGTTGAATGCACACATCAAAAAGAAGTTTCTGAGGATGATTCTGTCTAGTTTTTATGTGAAGATATTCCTGATTCCAAGGAAGGCCTCAAATCAGTACAAATATCCACTTGCAGATTCTACGAAAAGTGTTTCAAAACTGCTCCATGAAAAGGTGTGTTCAACTCTGTGAGTTGAATGCAAACATCAGAAAGAAGTTTCTGAGAATGCCTCTGTCTGGTTTTCATGTGAAGATATTCCTTTTCCACCATAGGCCTCTAAGCTCTCCCAATGTTCACTTGCAAATTTTATGAAAAGTGTGTTTCAAAACTGATCTAAGAAAAGATATGTTCAACTTTGTGTGTTGAATGCAAGCATCACAAAGAAGTTTCAGAGAATGCTTCTGTCTATTTTTTATGTGAAGATATTTCCTTTTCCACCATAGGCCTCAAAGATCTGAAATGTCCACTTGAACATTCTTCAAAAAGAGTGTTTCCAAACTGCTCTATCAAAAGAAAGGTTCAACTGAGTCAGGTGAATGCCCGCATCATGAAGGAGTTTCTGAGAATTCTTCTGTCTGATTTTTATGTGAAGATATTCCCATTTCCAATGAAGGCCTTCAAAGTAGTCCAAATATCCACTTGCAGATTCTACGAAAAGAGTGTTTCGAAACTGCTCTATAAACAGGTATGTTCAACTCTGTGAGTTGGATGCAAGCATCACAAAAAACTTTCTGAGAATGCTTCTGTCTAGTTTTTATGTGAAGATATTTCCTTTTCCACCATAGGCCTCAAAGCTCTCCAACTGTCCACTTGCAGATTCTACCAAAGAGTGTATCAAAACAGGCTCTATCAAAACAAAGGTTGAACTCTGATAGTTGAATGCACACATCAGAAAGAAGTTTATGAGAATGCTTCTATCTTCTTTTTATGTGAAGATATTCTTGTTTCCAACGAAGGCCTCAAACAGTCCAAATATCCACTTGCAGATTCTACGAAAAGAGTGTTTCAAAACTGCTCTATAAAAAAGCTATGTTCAACTCTGTGAGTTGCTTTCAAACATCACAAAGAAGTTTCTGAGAATGCTTCTCTCCAGTGTTTATGTGAAGATAATTCCTTTTCCAACATGGGCCTCAAAGTTCTCAAAATGTCCACTTGCAGATTCTAAAAAGAGAGTGTTTCAAAACTGCTCTATCAAAGAAAGGTTCAACTCTGTGAGTTGAATGTACACATCACAAAGAATTTTCTGAGAATGCTTCTGTCTACTTTCTATATGAAAATATTCCCTTTTCCAATGAAGGCCTCAAAGCAGTCCTAATTTCCTCTTGCAGATTCTACGAAAAGAGTGTTTCAAAACCGCTCTAAGAAAAGGTATGTTCAAAACTGTGAGTTGAATGCAAACATCATAAAGAAGTTTCTGAGAATACTTCTGTCTAAATTTTATGTGAAGGTATTTCCTTTTCCACCATGGGCCTCAACGCTCTCCGAATGTCGGCTTGCAGATTCTACAAAAAGTGTTTCAAAACTGCTCTATCAAAATAAAGATTCAACTCTGTGAGTTGAATGCACACATCAAAAAGAGGTTTCTGAGAATACTTCTGTTTAGTTTTTATGTGAAGATATTCATGTTTCCAAAGTAGGCCTCAAAGCGCTCCAAATATCCACTTGTAGATTCTATGAAAAGAATGTTTCAAGAGTTCTCTATGAAAAAGGCTTGTTCAACTCTGTGAGTTGAATGTAAACATCACAAATAAGTTTCTGAGAATGCTTCTGTCCAGTTTTTATGTGAAGATATTTCTTTTTACACCATAGCCCTCAAAGCTCTCCAAATGTCGACTTGCAGATTCTACAAAAATAGTGTTTCAAACTGCTCTATCAAAAGAAAAGTTCAACTCTGTCAGTTGAATGGAAACATCAAAAATAAGTTTCTGAGAATGCTTCTGTCTAGCTTTTATGTGAAGATATGCCCGTTTCCAAGGAAGGGTTCAAATCAGTACAAATATCCTCTTGCAGATTCTATGAACAGAGTGTTTCAAAACTGCTCCATGAAAAGGTATGTTCAACACGGTGAGTTGAATGCAAACATCACAAAGATGTTTCTGAGAGGGGGCCGGGCGCGGTGGCTCACGCCTGTAATCCCAGCACTTTGGGAGGCCGAGGCGGGTGGATCATGAGGTCAGGAGATCGAGACCATCCTGGCTAACAAGGTGAAACCCCGTCTCTACTAAAAATACAAAAAATTAGCCGGGCGCGGTGGCGGGCGCCTGTAGTCCCAGCTACTCGGGAGGCTGAGGCAGGAGAATGGCGTGAACCCGGGAAGCGGAGCTTGCAGTGAGCCGAGATTGCGCCACTGCAGTCCGCAGTCCGACCTGGGCGACAGAGCGAGACTCCGTCTCAAAAAAAAAAAAAAAAAAAAAGATGTTTCTGAGAATGCTTCTGTCTGGTTTTTATGTGAAGATATTCCTTTTCCACCATAGGCCTCAAAGCTCTCTAAATGTTCATTTGCAGTTCCTACAAAAAGAGTGTTTCAAAACTACTCTATGAACAGGTATATTCAACTCTTTGACTTGAATGCAGACATCACAAAGACGTTTGTGAGAATGCTTCTGTCTAGTTTTTATGTGAAGATATTTCCTTTTGCAACATTGGACTCAAAGCTCTCCCAATGTCCACTTGCAGATTTTGCGAAAAGTGTGTTTTAAAACTGCTCTAAGAAAAGGTGTGTTCACCTCTGTGAGTTGAATGCAAACATCACAAAGAAGTTTCTGAGAATTCTTCGGTCTAGTATTTTTGTGAAGATATTCCCGTTTGCAACGAAGGCATCAAAGAAGTACAAATATCCACCTGTAGATTCTACGAAAAGAGTGTTTCAAAACTGCTCTATCAAGAGGTATGTTCAACTCTTTGAGTTGAATGCAAACATCACAAAGAAGTTTCTGAGAATGCTTCTGTTGAGGTTTTATGTGAAGATATCTCCCTTTCATCCATAGGCCTCAAATCTCTCCAAATGTCCACTTGCAAATTCTACAAAAAAAGTGTTTCAAAACTGCTCTATCAAAAGAAGGGTTCAACTCTGTGAGTTGAATGCACACATCACAAAGAAGTTTCTGAGAATGCTTCTGTCTAGCTTTTATGTGAAAATATTCCCATTTCCAATGAAGGCCTCATAGCAGTCAAAATATCCACTTGCAGATTCTACGAAAAGAGTGTTTCAAAACTGCTCTATGAAAAGGTATGCTCAACTCTGTGAGTTGAATACAAACATTACAAAGAAGTTTATGAGAATGCCTCTGTCTAGTTTTTATGTGAAGGTATTTCCTTTTCAACCATAGGACACAAAGAACCCAAATGTCCACTTGCAGATACTACAAATAAAGTGTTTCAAAACTGCTCTATCAAAACAAAGGTTCAACTCTGTGAGTTGAATGCACACATCACGAAGTAGTTTCTGAGAATGTTTCTGTCTAATTTTTATGTTAAAATATTTCCTTTTCTACCATAGGCCTAAAAGCGCACCAAATATCCACTTGCAGATTCTACAAAAACAGTGTTTCAAAACTGATCTATGAACAGTTATGTTCAAATCTGTGAGTTGAATCCTAACATCACAAAGAAGTTTCTGAGAATTCTTTTGTCTACTTTTTAGGTGAAGATATTTCTTTTTCCACCGTAGGCCTCAAAGCTCTCCAAATGTCCAATTGCAGATTCTACGAAAAGAGAGTTTCAAAACTGCTCCATGAAAAGCTATGTTTAATTCTGTGAGTTGAATGCAAACATCACAAAGAAGTTTCTGAGAATGCTTCTGTCTGGTTTTTATGTGAAGATAATTTCTTTTCCACCGGAGGCCTCAAAGCTCTCCAAATGTCCACTTGCAGATTCTACAAAAAGAGTGATTCAAAACTGCTCTATGAATAGAAAGGTGTACGTCTGTGAGTTGAATGCACACACCACTTAGAAGTTTCTGAGAATACTTCTGTCTAGTTTTATTGTGACCATATTCCCGTTTCCAACGAAGGCCTCAAAGCAGTCCAAATATCCACTTGCAGATTCTACGAAAGAGTTTTTCAAAACTGCTCTATAAACAGGTATGTTCAACTCTGTGAGTTGAATACAAACATGGCAAAGACGTTTCTGAGAATGCTTCTGACTAGTTTTTTTTGTGAAGATATTTCTTTTCCACCGTAGGCCTCAAAGGTCTCAAAATGTCCACTTGCAGATTCTTCAAAAAGAGTGTCTCAAAACTGCTCTATCAAAAGAAAGCTTAAAGACTGTGAGTTGAATGCACACATCACAAGATGTTTCTGAGAATGCTTCTGTCTAGTTTTTATGGGAAGATATTCCCATTTCCAATGAGTGCCTTAAAGCAGTCAAAATATCCACTTGCAGATTCTACGAAAAGAGTGTTTCAAAACTGCTCTATGAAAAGGTATGTTCAACTCTGTGAGTTGCATGCAAACATCACAAAGAAGTTTCTGAGAACGCTTCCGTCTGGTTTTTATGTGAAATAATTCCTTTACCACCATAGACCTCAAAGCTCTCCAAATGTCAACTTGCAGATTCTACAAAAAGAGTGTTTCAAAACAGCTCTATCAAAAGTAAGGTGTAAGTCTGTGAGTTGAATGCACACACCACAAAAATGTTTCTGAGAATGCTTCTGTCTATTTTTTATGTGAAGATATTCCCGTTTCCAATGAAGACCTCAAAGCAGTCCAAATATTCACTTGCAGATTCTACGAAGGAGTGTTTCAAAACAGCTCTATGAAAAGCTATGTTCAACTCTGTGAGTTGAATGCAAACATCACAAAGAAGTTTCTGAGAATGCTTTGGACGAGTTTTCTTGTGAAGATATTTCCTTTTCCACCGTAGGCCTAAAAGCACTCCAAATCTCCACTTGCAGATTCTTCGAAAAGAGTGTTTAAAAACTGCTCTATGAAGAGCTATGTTCAACACTGTGACTTGAATGCAAACATCACAAAGAAGTTTCGGAGAATCCGTCTGTCTAGTTTTTATGTGAATATATATCCTTTTGTACCATAGGCCTCAAAGCTCTCCAAATGTCCACTTGCAGATTCGACAAAAAGAGTGTTTCAAAACTGCTCTATCAAAAGAAAGTTTCAAGTGTGTGAGTTGAATGCACACATCCCAAGGAAGTTTCTGAGAATGCTTCTGTCTAGCTTTTATGGGAAGATATTCCCATTTCCAACGAAGGCCTCAAAGGAGGCCACATATCCACTTGCAGATTCTATGAAAACAGAGTTTCATATCTGATATATGAAAAGGTATGCTCAACTCTGTGAGTTCAATGCAAACATCACAAGAAGTTTCTGAGAATGCTTATGTCTGTTTTTTATGTGAAGATATTTCCTTTTCCAACATAGGCCTAAAAGCTTTCCAAATGTCCACTTGCAGATTTTACAAAGAGAGTGTTTCAAAACTGCTCCAGGAAAAGAAAGGTTTCACTCTGTGAGTTAAATGTACACATCACAAAGAAGTTTCTGAGAACGATTCTGTCTAGTTTTTATGTGAAGATATTCCCGTTTCCAACGAAGGCCTCAAAGCAGTCCAAATATCCATTTGCAGATTCTACCAAAAAAGAGCATATCAAAACTGTTCTATGAAAAGGTATTTTCAACTCCGTGCATTGAATGCAAACATCACAAAGAAGTTTTTGGGAATTCTTCTGTCTGGACTTTATGTGAAGGTATTTCCTTTTCCACCATAGCAATCAAACTTTCCAAATGTCTACTTGCAGATTCTTCGATAAGAGGGTCTCAAAACTGCTCTCTGAAAAGGTATGTTGAACTCTATGTGTTGAATGCAAACATCACAGAGAAGTTTCTGAGAATGCTTCTCTGTAGTTTTTATGTGAAGATATTTCGTTTTCCACCATAGGCCTCAAAGCTCCCCAAATGTCCACTTGCAGATTCTTCAAAAAGTGTGTTTCAAAACTGCTCTATCAAAAGAAAGGTTCAACTCTGTGAGTTGCACGCACACATCACGATGAAGTTTCTGAAAATGTTTCTCTCTAGTATTTATGTGAAGAAATTTCCTTTTCCACCATAGGCCTCAAATCTCTCCGAATGTCCACTTGCAGATTCGACAAAAGAGAGTTTCAAAGCTACTCTATCGAAAGAAAGGTTCAGGTCTGTGAGTTGAATGCACACATCACAATGAAGTTTCTGGTAATGCTTCTGTCTAGTTTTAATGGGAAGATATTCCCATTTCCAACGAAGGCCTCAAAGCATTCCAAATATCTACTTGCAGATTCTACGAAAAGAGTGTTTCAAAACTGATCTATTCAAAGGTATGTTCAACTCTGTGAGTTGAATGCAAACATCACAAAGAAGATTCTGAAAATGCTTCTGTCTGCTTTTTATGTAAAGATATTTCCTTTCCCACCATAAGCCTAATAGCTTTCCAAATGTCCACTTGCAGATTTTACAAAAGAGTGTTTCAAAACTGCACTATGAAAAGAAAGGTTCAATTCTGTGAGTTGAAAGCACACATCACAGAGAAGTTTCTGGGAAAGATTCTGTCTAATTTTTATGTGAAGATATTCCCGTTTCCAACGAAGGCCTCAAAGCAGTCCAAATGTCCACTGGCAGATTCTATGAAAAAAGTGTTTCAAAACTGCTTTTAGAAAAGGTATGTTCAACTCCTTGAGTTGAATGCAAACATCACAAAGTAGATTCTGAGAATGCTTCTGTCTGGTTTTTATGTTAAGATATTTCCTTTTCCACCATAGGCCTCAAAGCTCTCCAAATGTTCACTTGCAGATTCTTCAAAAAGAGTGTTTCAAAACTGCTCTATCAAAAGAAAGGTTCAAGTCTGTGAGTTCAATGCACACATCACGAAGTAGTTTCTGAGAATGCTTCTGTCTAGTTTTTATGTGAGGATATTCCCATTTCCAATGACGGCCTCAAAGCAGTCCAAATATCTACTTGCATATTTTAGGAAAAGATTGTTTCAGAACTCCTCTATGCACAGGTATGTTCAACCCTGTGAGTTGAATGCAAACATCACTAAGTAGTTTCTGAGAATGCTTCTGACTGGTTTTTATGTGAAGATATTTTCTTTTCCACCATTGGCCTTAAAGCTCTCCTAATGTCCACTTCCAGATTCTACAAAAATCGTGTTTCAAAACTGTCGTATCAAAAGAAAGGTTCAGCTCTGTGAGTTGAATGCACACATCAAATAGAAGTTTCTGAGAATGCTTTTGTCTAATTTTTATGTGAAGATATTCCCGTTTCCATCGAAGGCCTCAAAGCAGTCCAAATATCCTCTTGCAGATTCTACGAAAAGAGTGCTTCAAAGCTGCTCTAAGAAACGTTATGGGGAGGAGGAGCCAAGATGGCCGAATAGGAACAGCTCCGTTCTACAGCTCCCAGCGTGAGCGACGCAGAAGATGGTTGATTTCTGAATTTCCCTCCGAGGTACGTGTTCATCGCACTAGGAAGTGCCAGTCAGTGCACGCAGGTCTGTGGGTGCACGCACCGTGCGTGAACCGATGCAAGGTGAGGCATTGCCTCACTCGGGAAGTGTAAGGTGTCAGGGAGTTCCCTTTCCTAGTCAAAGAAAGAGATGACAGACAGCACCTGGAAAATCGGGTCACTCCCACCATAATACTGCACTTTTCTGACGGGCTTAAAAAACCATGCACCAGGAGATTGTATCCCGCACCTGGCTCGGAGGGTCCTACCCCCACGGATCTCACTGATTGCTAGCACAGTAGTCTGAGATCAAACTGCAAGGTGGCAGCGAGGCTGGGGGAAGGGCGCCCCCCATTGCCCAGGCTTGCTTAGGTAAACAAAGCAGCCGGGAAGCTCGAAGAGGGTGGAGCCCACCGCAGCTCAAGGAGGCCTGCCTGCCTCTGTAGGCTCCACCTCTGGGGGCAGGGCACAGACAAACAAAAAGACAGCAGTAACCTCTGCAGACTTAAATGTCCCTGTCTGACAGCTTTGAAGAGAGCAGTGGTTCTCCCAGCTTGCAGCTGGAAATCTGAGAACGGGCAGACTGCCTCCTCAAGTGGGTCCCTGACCCCTGACACACGAGCCTCCTAACTGGGTGGCACCCCCCAGCAGGGGCAGACTGACACCTCACACGACCAGGTACGCCAACAGACCTGCAGCTGAGGGCCCTGTCTGTTAGAAGGAAAACTAACAAACAGAAAGGACATCCACACCAAAAACCCATCTGTACTTCACCATCCTCAATGATCAAAAGTAGATAAAACCACAAAGATGGGGGAAAAAAAGAGCAGAAAAACTGGAAACTCTAAAAAGCAGAGCACCTCTCCTCCTCCAAAGGAATGCAGTTCCTCACCAGCAATGGAACAAAGCTGGATGGAGAATGACTTTCACAAGCTGAGAGAAGAAGCCTTCAGACGATCAAATTACTCCAAGCTATGGGAGGACATTCAAACCAAAGGCAAAGAAGTTGAAAACTTTGAAAAAAATTTAGAAGAATGTATAACTAGAATAACCAATACAGAGAAGTGCTTTAAGGAGCTGATGGAGATGAAAACCAAAGCTCGAGAACTACGTGAAGAATGCAGAGGCCTCAGGAGCCCAAGCGATCAACTGGAAGAAGGGGTATCAGCAATGGAAGATGAAATGAATGAAATGTAGGGAGAAGGGAAGTTTAGAGAAAAAAGAATAAAAAGAAACGAGCAAAGCCTCCAAGAAATATGAGACTATGTGAAGAGACCAAATCTACGTCTGATTGGTGTATCTGAAAGTGACGGGGAGAATGGAACCAAGTTGGAAAACACTCTGCAGGATATTATCCAGAAGAACTTCCCCAATCTAACAAGGCAGCCAACATTCAGATTCAGGAAATACAGAGAACGCCAAAAAGATACTCGGGAAGAGCAATTCCAAGACACATTATTGTCAGGTTCACCAAAGGTGAAATGGAAGAAAAAATGTTAAGGGCAGCCAGAGAGAAAGGTTGGGTTACCCTCAAAGGGAGGCCCATCAGACTAACAGTGGATCTCTTGGCAGAAACCCCACAAGCCAGAAGAGAGTGGGGGCCAATATTCAACATTCTTAAAGAAAAGAATTTTCAACCCAGAATTTCATATCCAGCCAAACTAAGCTTCATAAGTGAAGGAGAAATAAAACAGTTTATAGACAAGCTAATGCTGAGAGATTTTGTCACCAGCAGGCCTGTCCTAAAACAGCTCCAGAAGGAAGCACTAAACATGGAAAGGAACAACCGGTACCAGCCACTGCAAAATCATGCCAAAATGTAAAGACCATTGACACTAGGAAGAAACTGCATCAACTAACGAGCAAAATAACCAGCTAACATCATCATGACAGGATCAAATTCACACATAACAATATTAACCTCAAATGTAAATGGGCTAAATGCTCCAATTAAAAGACACAGACTGGCAAATTGGATAAACACTCAAGACCAATCCATGTGCTGTATTCAGGAAACCTATCTCATATGCAGAGACACACACAGTCTCAAAATAAAGGGATGGAGGAAGATCTACCAAGCAAATGGAAAGCAAAAAAGGCAGGGGTTGCAATCCTAGTCTCTGATAAAACAGACTTTAAATCAGCAAAGATCAAAAGAGACAAAGAAGGCCATTACATAATGGTAAAGGGATCAATTCAACAAGAAGAGCTAACTATCCTAAATATATATGCACCCAATACAGGAGCACCCAGATTCATAAAGCAAGTCCTGAGTGACCTACAAAGAGACTTAGACTCCCATACATTAATAATGGGAGAATTTAACAACCCACCATCAACATTAGACAGATCAACTAGACAGAAAGTCAACAAGGATACCCAGGAATTGAACTCAGCTCTGCACCAAGCGGACCTAATAGACATCTACAGAACTCACCACCCGAAATCAACAGAATATACATTTTTTTTCAGCACCACACCACTCCTATTCCAAAATTGACCACATACTTGGAAGTAAAGCTCTCCTCAGCAAATGTAAAATAATCGAAATTATAACAAACTATCTCTCAGACCACAGTGCAATCAAACTAGAACTCAGGATTAAGAATCTCACTCAAACCACTCAACTACATGGAAACTGAACAACCTGCTCCTGAATGACTACTGGGTACATAACGAAATGAAGGCAGAAATAAAGAAGTTATTTGAAACCAATGAGAACAAAGACACACATATCAGAATCTCTGGGATGCAATCAAATCAGTGTGTAGAGGGAAATTTATAGCACTAAACGCCCACAAGAGAAAGCAGAAAATATCCAAAATTGACACCCTAACATCACAATTAAATGAACTAGAGAAGCAAGAGCAAACACATTCAAAATCTAGCAGAAGGCAAGAAATAACTAAAATCAGAGCAGAACTGAAGGAAATAGAGACACAAAAACCCTTCAAAAAAATAATGAATCCAGGAGCTGGTTTTTTGAAAGGATCAACAAAATTGATAGACCGCTAGCAAGACTAATAAAGAAAAAAAGAGAGAAGAATCAAATAGATGCAATAAAAAATGATAAACGGGATATCACCACTAATCCCACAGAAATACAAACTACCATCAGAGAATACTACAAACACCTCTACGCAAATAAACTAGAAAATCTAGAAGAAATGGATAAATTCCTCGACACATACACCCTCCCAAGACTAGACCAGGAAGAAGTTGCATCTTTGAATAGACCAATAACAGGATCTGAAATTGTGGCAATAATCAATAGCTTACCAACCAAAAAGAGCCCAGGACCAGATGGATTCACAGCCGAATTCTACCAGAGGTACAAGGAGGAATTGGTACCATTCCTTCTGAAACTATTCCAATCAACAGAAAAAGAGGGAATCCTCCCTAACTCATTTTATGAGGCCAGCATCATCCTGATACCAAAGCCGGGTAGAGACACAACCAAAAAAGATAATTTTAGACCAATATCATTGATGAACATTGATGCAAAAATCCTCAATAAAATACTGGCAAACTGAATCTAGCAGCACATCAAAAAGCTTATCCACCATGATCAAGTGGGCTTCATCCCTGGGATGCAAGGCTGGTTCAATATACACAAATCAATAAATGTAATCCAGCATATAAACAGAACCAAAGACAAAAACCACATGATTATCTCAATAGATGCAGAAAAGGCGTTTGACAAAATTCAACAACCCTTCATGCTAAAAACTCTCAATAAATTAGGTACTGATGGGATGTATTTCAAAATAATAAGAGCTATCTATGACAAACCCACAGACAATATCATACTGAATGGGCAAAAACTGGTAACATTCCCTTTGAAAACTGGCACAAGACAGGGATGCCCTCTCTCATCACTCCTATTCAACATAGTTTTGGAAGTTCTGGCCAGGGCAATTAAGCAGCAGAATGAAATAAAGGGTATTCAATTAGGAAAAGAGGAAGTCAAATTGTCCATGTTTGCAGACGACATGATTATATATCTAGAAAACCCCATTGTCTCAGCCCAAAATTTCCTTAAGCTGATAAGCAACTTCAGCAAAGTCTCAGGATACAAAATCAATGTACAAAAATCACAAGCGTTCTTATACACCAACAACAGACAAACAGAGAGCCAAATCATGAGTGAACTCCCATTCACAATTGCTTCCAAGAGAATAAAATACCTAGGAATCTAACTTACAAGGGATATGAAGGACCTTTTCAAGGAGAGCTACAAACCACTGCTCAATGAAATAAAAGAGGATACAAATGGAAGAACATTCCTTGCTCATGGGTAGGAAGAATCAATAATGTGAAAATGGCCATACTGCCCAAGGTAATTTACAGATTCAATGCCATCCCCATCAAGCTACCAATGCCTTTCTTCACAGAATTGGAAAAAACTACTTTAAAGTTCACAGGGAACCAAAAAAGAGCCCGCATCGCCAAGTCAATCCTAAGCCAAAAGAACAAAGCTGGAGGCGTCACACTACCTGACTTCAAACTATACTACAAAGCTACAGTAATCAAAACAGTATGGTACTGGTACCAAAACAGAGATATAGATCAATGGAACAGAACAGAGCCCTCAGAAATAATGCCGCATATCTACAACTATCTGATCTTTGACAAAACTGAGAAAAACAAGCAGTGGAGAAAGGATTCCCTATTTAATAAATGGTGCTGGGAAAACTGGCTAGCCATATGTAGAAAGCTGAAACTGGATCCCTTCCTTATACCTTATACAAAAATCAATTCAAGATGGATTAAAGACTGAAACGTTAGATGTAAAACCATAAAAACCCTAGAAGAAAAGCTAGGAATTACCATTCAGGACATAGACATGGGCCAGGGCTTCATGTCTAAAACACCAAAAGCAATGGCAACAAAAGCCAAAATTGACAAATGGGATCTAATTAAACTAAAGAGCTTCTGCGCAGCAAAAGAAATTACCATCAGAGTGAACGGGCAACCTACAAAATGGGAGAAAATTTTTGCAACCTACTCATCTGACAAAGGGCTAATATCCAGAATCTACAATGAACTCAAACAAATTTACAAGAAAAATACAAAAAACCCCATCAAAAAGTGGGCAAAGTACATGAACAGACACTTCTCAAAAGAAGACATTTATGCAGCCAAAAAACACATGAAAAATTCTCACCCTCACTGGCCATCAGAGAAATGCAAATCAAAACCACAATGAGATACTGTCACACACCAGTAAGAATGGCAATCAATAAAAAGGAAACAACAGGTGCTGGAGAGGATGTGGAGAAATAGGAACACTTTTACACTGTTGGTGGGACTCTAAACTAGTTCAACCATTGTGGCAGTCAGTGTGGCGATTCCTCAGGGATCTAGAACTAGAAATACCATTTGACCTGGCAATCCCATTACCGGGTATTTACACAAAGGACTATAAATAATGCTGCTATAAAGACACATGCACACATATGTTTATTGTGGCACTATGCACAATGGCAAAGACTTGGAACCAATCCAAATGTCCAACAATGATAGACTGGATTAAGAAAATATGGCACATATACACCAAGGAATACTATGCAGCCATAAAAAATGATGAGTTCATGTCCTTTGTAGGGACGTGGATGAAACAGGAAATCATCATTCCCAGTAAACTATCGCAAGAACAAATAACCAAACACCGCATATTCTCACTCATTCGTGGAAATTGAACAATGAAAACACATAGACACAGGAAGGAGAACATCACACTCTGGGGACTGTTTTGGGGGGGGAGGGGGGAGGGATGGCATCGGGAGATATACCTAATGCTAGATGAAGAGATAGTGGGTGCAGTGCACAAGCAAGGCACATGTATACATTTGTAATTAACTGGCAAATTGTGCACATGTATCCTAAAAATTAAGAATAATAATTAAAAAAACAAAAACTAGAAAAAAAAAGAAAATAATATAGACGAAGACAGAACAAAGACATAAAGGGAAATGGAGTCTTGACAAGATTTGAATCCATGTCTGAATTCAACATTACTGCGAAAACTTTGCTGCTACTTTACAATCAATTCTTTTCTGATGTAAATGAGTTCAAGTTGGATTTTTTGTCTCTTTCAACAAATAGGCCTAATATATAAATAAAGAACATTTTAATTAAAAAAAAGAAAAGAAAAGTTATGTTCAACTGTGTGAATTGAATGCACACATCACAAAGAAGTTTCTGAGAATGCTTCTGTATAGTTTTTATGTGAAGACATTCCCCTTACCAATGAAGGCCTCAAAGTAGTCCAAATATCCACTTGCAGGTTCTACGAAAAGAGTGTTTCAAAACTGCTCTAAGAAAAGGTATGTTCAACTCTATGAGTTGAATGCACACATCGCAAAGAAGTTTCTGAGAATGTTTCTATCTAGTTTTTATGTGAAGATGTTTCCTTTTCCACTGTAGGCCTGAAAGTTCTCCAAATGTCCACTTGCAGATTTTACAAAAAGAGTGTTTATTCTTGTAAATTTGTTTGAGTTCATTGTAGATTCTGGATATTAGCCCTTTGTCAGATGAGTAGGTTGTGAAAATTTTCTCCCATTTTGTAGGTTGCCTGTTCACTCTGATTGTAGTTTCTTTTCCTGTGCAGAAGCTCTTTAGTTTAATTAGATCCCATTTGTCAACTTTGGCTTTTGTTGCCATTGCTTTTGGTGTTTTAGACATGAAGTCCTTGCCCATGCCTATGTCCTGAATGGTAATGCCTAGGGTTTCTTCTAGGGTTTTTATGGTTTTAAGTCTAACGTTTAAGTCTTTAATCCATCTTGAATTGATTTTTGTATAAGGTATAAGGAAGGGATCCAGTTTCAGCTTTCTACATATGGCTAGCCAGTTTTCCCAGCACCATTTATTAAATAGGGAATCCTTTCCCCATTGCTTGTTTTTCTCAGGTTTGTCAAAGATCAGATAGTTTTAGATATGCAGCATTATTTCTGAGGGCTCTGTTCTGTTCCATTGATCTATATCTCTGTTTTGGTACCAGTACCATGCTGTTTTGGTTACTGTAGCCTTGTAGTATAGTTTGAAGTCAGGTAGTGTGATGCCTCCAGCTTTGTTCTTTTGGCTTAGGAGTGACTTGGCGATGTGGGCTCTTTTCTGGTTCCCTATGAACTTTAAAGTAGTTTTTTCCAATTCTGTGAAGAAAGGCATTGGTAGCTTGATGGGGATGGCATTGAATCTGTAAATTACCTTGGGCAGTATGGCCATTTTCACGATATTGATTCTTCCTACCCATGAGCATGGAATGTTCTTCTATTTGTTTGTATCCTCTTTTATTTCCTTGAGCAGTGGTTTGTAGTTCTCCTTGAAGAGGTCCTTCACATCCCTTGTAAAACAAACAACCCCATCAAAAAGTGGGCAAAGGATATGAACAGACACTTCTCAAAAGAAGACATTTATGCAGCCAAAAAACCCATGAAAAAATGCTCATCATCACTGGCCATCAGAGAAATGCAAATCAAAACCACAATGAGATACCATCTCACACCAGTTAGAATGGCAATCAGTAAAAAGTCAGGAAACAACAGGTGCTGAAGAGGATGTGGAGAAATAGGAACACTTTTACACTGTTGGTGGGACTGTAAACTAGTTCAACCATTGTGGAAGTCAGTGTGGCAATTCCTCAGGGATCTAGAACTGGAAATACCATTTGACCCAGCCATCCCACTACTGGGTATATACCCAAAGGACTATAAATCATGCTGCTATAAAGACACATGCACACGTATGTTTATTGCAGCATTATTCACAATAGCAAAGACTTGGAAGCAACCCAAATGTCCAACAATGATAGACTGGATTAAGAAAATGTGACACATATACACCATGGAATACTATGCAGCCATAAAAAATGATGAGTTCATGTCCTTTGTAGGGACATGGATGAAATTGGAATTCATCATTCTCAGTAAGCTATCGCAATAACAAAAAACCAAACACCGCATATTCTCACTCAAAGGTGGGAATTGAAAAATGAGATCACATGGACACAGGAAGGAGAATATCATACTCTGGGGACTATTGTGGGAAGGGGGGAGGGGGGAGGGATAGCATCGGGAGATATACCTAATGCTAGATGACGAGTTAGTGGGTGCAGCACACCAACATAGCACATGTATAGATATGTAACAAACCTGCACAATATGCACATGTACGCTAAAACAAAGTATAATAATAAAAAAAAGTGTTTAAAAACTGCTCCATCAAAAGAAAGGTTCAAACCTGTGAGTTCAATGCACACATCACAAAGAAGTTTCTGAGAATGTTTCTGTCTAGTTTTTATGTGAAGATATTCCCATTTCCAACGAAGGCCTCAGGGCAGTCTAAATATCCACTTGCAGATTCTAAGAAAAGAGTGTTTCAGAACTGCTCTATGAACAGGTCTGTTCAAACCTGTGAGTTGAATGCAAACATCGCAAACAAGTTTCTGAAAATGTTTCTGCCTAATTTTTTTGTGAAGATATTTCCTTTTCCACCATAGGCCTCAAAGCACTACAAAAGTTCACTTGCAGATTCTACAAAAAGAGTGTTTCAAAACTGCTCTTTCAAAAGAAAGGTACAACTCTGTGAGTTTAATGCACACGTCACAAAGAAGTTTCTGAGAATGCTTCTGTCTTGTTTTTATGTGAAGATATTCCCGTTACCAACGAAGGCCTCAAAGCAGTCCAAATATCCACTTGCAGATTCTATGATAAGAGTGTTTCCAAAATGCTCTATGAACAGGTATGTTCAACTCTGTGAGCTGAATGCGAACATCACAAAGAAGTTTCTGAGAATGCTTCTGTCTAGTTTTTACGTGAAGATATTTCCTTTTCCACCATAGACCTCAAAGTTCTCCAAATGTCCATTTGTAGATTTTACAAAAAGAGTGTTTCAAAACTGTTGTATCAAAAGAAAGTTTCAAACCTGTTAGTTGAATGCTCATATCACAAAGAAGTTTCTGAGAATGCTCCTGTCTAGTTTTTATGTGAAGATATTCCCGTTTCCAATGAAGGCCTCATGGCAGTCCAATTATCCACTTGCAGATTCTACGAAAAGAGTGTTTCAAAACTATTCTATAAATGGTATGTTCATCTCTCTTTGTTGAATGCAAACATCAGAAAGAATTTTCTTAGAATGATTATGTCTGGTTTTTATGTGGAGATATTTCCTTTTCCACCATAGGTCTCAAAGCTTTCAAATGTCCACTTGCAGATGGTACAAAAAGACTGTTTCAAAACTGCTCTATCAAAAGAAAGGTTCCACTCTGTGAGTTGAATACACATATCACAAAGAAGTTCCTGAGAATGCTTCTGTCAAGTTTTTATGTGAAGATATTCCCGTTACCAACGAGGGCCTCAAAGCAGTCCAAATATCCACTTGCAGATTCTATGAAAAGAGTGTTTTAAAACTGCTCTATGAAAAGTATGTTCAACTCTGTGAGTTGAAAGGAAACATCACAAAGAAGTTTCTGAGAATGCTTCTGTCTGGTTTCTATGTGAGGATATTTCCTTTTGCACCATAGGACTCAAAGCTTTCCAAATGTCCACTTGCAGATTTTACGAAAAGAGTGTTTCAAAACTGCTGTATCAAAAGAAAAGTTCAACTCTGTGAATTGAATGCACACATCACAAAGAAGTTTCTCAGAATGTCTCTGTCTAGATTTTATGTGAAGATATTCCCGCTTCCAACGAAGGACTTAAAGCTCTCCAAATATAAACTTGCAGATTCTACAAGAAGCGTGTTTCAAAACTGCTCCATCAAAAGAAAGGTTCAACTCTGTCAGTTGAATGCACACATCATAAAGAAGTTTCTGAGAATGTTTCTGTCTATTTTTTATGTGAAGATATTTCCTTTTCCACCATAGGCCACAAAGCTCTCCAAATGCGCACTTGCAGATACTTCAAAAAGAGTGTTTCAAAACTGCCCTATGAAAAGAAAGGTTCAACTCTGTGAGTTGAATGCACACATCACAAAGAAGTTTGAGAATGCTTCTGTCTAATTTTTAGGTGAAGATATTTCTTTTTACACCATAGGCCTCAAAGCTCTCCAAATGTCCACTTGCAGATTTTACAAAAAGTGTGTTTCAAAACTGCTCTATTAAAAGGAAGATTCAACTCTGTGAGTTGAATGCACACATCAGAAAGACGTTTCTGAGAATGCTTCTGTCTAGTTTTTATGTGAATATATACCCATTTCCAACGAAGACCTCAAACCAGTCCAAATATCCACTTTCAGATTCAACAAAAAGAGTGTTTCAAAATTGCTGTATGAAAAGGTATGTTCAACTCTGTGAGTTGAATGCAAGCATTACAAAAAAGTTTCTGAGAAAGCTTCTGTCTGGTTTTTATGTGAAGATATTTCTTTTTCCACCATAGGCCTAAAAGATTTCCAAATTTTCACTTGCAGATTCTACAAAGACAGTGTTTCAAAACTGCTCTATCAAAAGAAAGATTCAACTCTGTGAGTTGAATGCACACACCAGAAAACCCTTTCTAAGAATGATTCTTTCTAGTTTTTATGTGAAGATATTCCCGTTTACAACGAAGAATTCAAAGTATTGCAAATACCCAATTGCAGATTCTCCGAAAAGAGTGTTTCAAAACTGATCTATTAAAAGGTATGTGCAACTCTGTGAGTTGAATACAAACATCACAAAGAAGTTTGTGAGAATGCTTCTGTCTGGTTTTTATGTGAAGATATTTCCTTTTCCACCATAGGCCTCAAAGCACTACAAATGTTCACTTGCAGATTCTACAAAAAGACTGTTTCAAAACTGCTCTATCAAAAGAAAGCTTCAACTCTGTGAGTTGAATGCAAACACCACAAAGTAGTTTCTGAGAATGCTTCTGTCTAGTTTTTAAGTGAAGACATTTCCTTTTACACCATAGGTCTCAAAGGTCTCCAAATGTCCACTTGCAAATTCTACAAAAAGATTGTTTCTAAACTGCTCTATCAAAAGAAAGGTGCAACCCTTTAGGTGAATGCACAAATCAAAAAGCAGTTTCTGAGAATTCTTCTGTCTAGTTTTTATGTGAAGATATCCCCATTACCAAAGAAGGCCTCAAAGCCGTCCAAATATCCAGTTGCAGATTCTAAGAAAAGAGTGTTTCAAAACAGCCCTATGAACAGGTATGTCCAACTGTGAGTTGAATGCAAACATCACAAAGGAGTTTTTGAGAATACTTCTGACTAGTTTTTTCGAGAAGATATTTCCTTTTCCACCGTAGGCCTAAAAGCACTCCAAATGTCCACTTGCAGATTCTACAAAAAGAGTTTTTCAAAACTGCTCTATCTAAAGAAAAGTTCAAGTATCTGAGTTGGATGCACACATCACAAAGAAGTTTCTGAGAATGCTTCTGTCTAGTTTTTATGGAAATATATTCCCATTTCCAACGAAGGCCTCAAGGCAGTCAAAATATCCACTTGCAGATTCTACGAAAAGAGTGTTTCAAAACTGGGCTATTAAAGGGTATGTTCAGCTCCGTGAGTTGAATGAAAACATCACAAAGAAGTTTCTGAGAATGCTTCTGTCTAGTTTTTATGTGAAGATATTTCCTTTTCCGTCATAGGCCTCAAAGCTCTCCAAATGTCCCCTTGCAGATTCTACAAAAAAAGTGTTTCATAACTGCTCTATCAGAAGAAAGGTTCAACTCTGTGAGTTGAATGCACACATCACAAAGAAGTTTCTGAGAATTTTCTGTCTAGTTTTTATGTGAAGATATTCCCGTTTCCAACGAAGGCCTCAAAACAGTCCAAATATCCACTTGCAGATTCTACGAAAATAGTGTTTAAAAACTGCTCTATGAACAGGTATGTTCAACTCTGTGAGTTGAATGGAAACATCCCAAAGACGTTTCTGAGAATGCTTCTGCCTAGTTTTTATGTGAAGATATTTCCTTTTCCACCGGAGGCCTGAAAGCTCTCCAAATGTCCACTTTCAGATTCTTCAAAAAGAGGTTTTCAAAACTGTTCAATCAAAAGAAAAGTTCAAGTCTGTGAGTTGAAGGCACACATCACAATGAAGTTTCTGAGAATGCTTCTCTCTTTTTTATGGGAAGACATTCCCATTTCCAACAAAGGCCTCAAAGCAGTCCAAATATACACTTGTAGATTCTACGAAAAGAGTGTTTCAAAACTGATCTATGAAAAGCTATGTTCAACTCTGTGAGTTGAATACAGACATCACAAAGAAGATTATGAGAATTCTTCTGTCTGTTTTTATGTGAAGACATTTCCTTTTCCACCATAGTCCTCAAAGCTCTCCAAATGTATACTTGCATTTACTTGATAAAGAGTGTTTCAAAACTGCTCTATCAAAGGAAAGGTTCAAGTCTGCGTGTTGAATGCACACACAACAAAGAAGTTTCTCAGAATGCTTCTGTCTATTTTTCATGTGAATAAATTCCCGTTTCCAAAGAAGTTCTCATAGCAGTGCAAATATCTAATTGCAGATATACGAAAAGAGTATTTCAAAAGTTCTCTATTGAAAGGCATGTTCAACTCTATGAGATGAATGCAAACATCAGAAAGAAGTTTCTGAGACTGCTTCTGACTAGTTTTTTTGTGAACATATTTCCTTTTCCACCGTAGGCCTCAAAGTTCTCAAAATGTTCACTTGCATATTCTACAAAAAGAGTGTTTCAAAACTGCTCTATCAAAGGAAATCTTCAACCTTGTGTGTTGAATGCACACATCACAAAATATTTCTGAGAATGCTTCTATTTTTTATGTGAAGATATTCCCATTTCCAACGAATACCTTTAAGGAGTCCAAATATCCAACTGCAGGTTCTACGAAAAGAGTGTTTCAAAGCTGCTCTATGAAAAGATATGTTCAACTCTGTTAGTTGAATGCAAACATCACAAAGAAGTTTCTGAGACTCCTTCTGACTAGTTTTTTTGTGAACATATTTCCTTTTCCAACGTAGTCCTCAAAGATCTCAAAATGTTCACGTGCAGATTATAAAAAGGAATATTTCAAAACTGCTCTATCAAAAGAAAGTTTCAACTCTGTGAGTTGAATGCACACATCACAAAGAAGTTTCTGAGAATGCTTCTGTCTAGATTTTATGGGAAGATATTCCCGTTTGCAACGAAGAACTCAAAGCAGTCCAAATATCCACTTGGAGATTCTACGAAAAGAGTGTTTCAAGACTGCTCTATGAAAAGTATGTTCAACTCTGTGAGTGGAATGCAAACATCACAAAGAATTTTCTGAGAATGCTTCTTTCTAGTTTTTATGTGAAGGTATTTCCTTTTCCACCACAGGACCCACAGCGCTCCAAATGTCCACTTGCAGATTCTACAAAAAGAGCGTTTCAAAACTGCTCTATCAAAGGAAAGGTGTAAGTCTGTGCGTTGAATGCACACACCAGAAAGAAGTTTCTGAGAATGCTTCTGTCTAGTTTTTATGTGAAGATACTCCCGTTTCCAATGAGGGCATCAAAGCAGTCCAAATATCCACTTACAGATTCTACGAAAAGAGTGTTTCTAAACTGCTCTATGAAAAGGTATGTTCAACTCTGTGAGATGAAAGAAAACATCACAAAGAATTTTCTGACTGCTTCTGACTGGTTTTTTTGTGAACATATTTCCTTTTCCACCGTAGGCCTCAAAATTCTGAAAATGTCCACTGGCAGATTCTACAAAAAGAGTGTTTCAAAACTGCTCTATCAAAAGAAAGCTTCAAGTCTGTGAGTTGAACGCAAACATCAGAAAGGAGTTTCTGAGAATGCTTCTGTCTAGTTTTTATGGGAATATATTCCCATTCCCAATGAATGCCTTAAAGGAGTCAAAATATCCACTTGCAGATTCTACGAAAACAGTGTTTCAAAACTGCTGTTAGAAAAGGTATGTTCAACTCTGTGAATTGAATGCAAACATCACAAACAAGTTTCTGAGAATACTTCTGTCTAGTTTTTATGCGAAGATACTTCCTTTTGCACTGTAGGCCTCAAAGCTCTCCTAATGTCCAACTGCAGATCCTACAAAAAGAGTGTTTCAAAACTGCTCTATCAAAACAAAGGTTCAAATCTGTGAGTTCAATGCACACATCAACAGGAAGTTTCTGAGAATGCTTCTGTCTAGTTTTTATGTGAAGTTATCCCCGTTTCCAACGAAGGCCTCAAAGCAGTCCAAATATCCACTTGCAGATTCTAAGAAAAGGGTGTTTCAAAACTGCCCTATGAACGGGTATGTTCAACAACGTGAGTTGAACCCAAACATCACAAAGAAGTTTCTGAGAATGCTTCTGTCTAGTTTTTTTGTAAAGATATTTCCTTTTCTACCGTAGGCCTAAAAGCACTCCAAGTGTCCACTTGCACATTCTACGAAAAGAGTTTTTCAAAACTGCTCTATCAAAACAAAAGTTCAAGTCTGTGAGTTGGATGCACATATCACAAAGAAGTTTCTGAGAATGCTTCTGTCTAGTTTTTTTTGTTAATAGATACCCATTTCCAGCGAAGGCCTCAAAGCAGCTTAAATATCCACTTGCAAATCCCACGGAAAGAGTTTTTCAAAACTGGGCTGTGAAAAGGTATGTTCAACTCCGTAAGTTGAATGAAAATATAACAAAGAAGTTTCTGAGAATGCTTCTGTCTAGTTTTTATGTGAATATATTCCCATTTCCGACGAAGGCCTCAAACCTGTCCAAATATCCAATTTCTGATTCTACGAAAAGAGTGTTTCAAAACTGATATATGAAATGGTATGTTCAGCTCTGTAAGTTGAATGCAAGCGTCACAAAGTAGTTTCTGAGAATGCTTCTGTCTGGTTTTTATGTGAAGATATTCCCTCTTCCAACACAGGCCTCAAAGCTCTACAAATGTCCACTTGCAGATTATACAAAAAGATTGTTTCAAAATTGCTCCATCAAAAGAAAGGTTCAACTCTGTGAGTTGAATGCACACATCACAAAGATGTTTCTAAGAATGCTTCTGTCTAGTTTTTATGTGAAGATATTTCCTTTTCCACCGTACGTCTCAAAGCTCTCCAAATATCAACTTTCAAATTTACCAAAAGAGTGTTTCAAAACTGTTCTATCAAAAGAAAGGTTCAACTCTGTGAGTTGAATGCACAGATCACAAAGAAGTTTCTGAGAATGCTTCTGTCTAGGTTTTATGTGAAGATATTCGCATTTCCAAAGAAGGCCTCAAAGCAGTCCAAATATCCACTTGCAGATTCTACGAAAAGAGAGTTTCAAAACTGCTGTATGAAAAGGTATGTTCAACTCTGTGAGTTGAATGCTAACATCACAAACAAGTTTCTGAGAATGCTTCTGTCTGGTTTTTATGTGAAGATATTCCTGTTTCCAATGAAGGCCTCCAAGGAGTCCAAATATCCACTTGCAGATTCTATGAAAAGAGTGTTTCAGAAAACCTCTATAAACAGGTATGTTGAACTCTGCGAGTTGAATGCAAACATCACTAAGTAGTTTCTGAGAGTGCTTCAGTCTGGTTTTTATGTAAAGATATTTCCTTTTCCACCATAGGCCTCAAAGTTCTCCCAGTGTCCACTTCCAGATTCTACAATAAGAGTGTTTCAAAACTGCTCTATCAAAAGAATGGTTCCACTCTGTGGGTTGAATGCACACATCACAAAGAAGTTTCTGATAATATTTCTGTCTAGCTTGTATGTGAAGATATTCCCTTTTCCAACGAAGACCTCAATGCCTTCCAAACATCCACCTGCAGATTCTACGAAAAGAGTGTTTCAAAACTGCTCTAAGAAAAGGTATGTTCAACTCAGTGAGTTGAATGCAAGCATCATGAAGAAGTTTCTGAGAATGCTTCTGTCTAGTTTTTATGTGAAGATACTTCCTTTTCCACCACAGGCCTCAAAGCTCTCCAAATATCCACTTGCAGATTCTACAAAAAGAGTGTTTCAAAACTGCTCTATCAAAGGAAAGGTTCAACACTGTGAGTGAAATGCACACATCACCTAGAAGTTTCTAAGAATTC